>NW_012132920.1:300000-529084 GCF_000001405.40 Homo sapiens | reverse complement strand
ATATATGAAAGTAGATGCAGAAGTAAATGTAGATGTATGTATACATGAGTTAGCATATATATCTCCGAGCCCTATCCACTGATAGGAACTAGATGCTCTGACACCCCGTGGCAATGAGCATGCCTTCTCTTCAGCTCGTGGTTTTTAATTACCATTCTCCAACAAAAGGAAAACATGGTTCTTTGCAGGTGTGGTTAATTCCAGGCCTGTGGCAGGGAAGCTTCACAAAGATTCTGTAACATCTTGTAGTGCCAGTAGGAAGGAAGTGCTAAAATAAAACAAAACAAATTAAGCCAGCAAAGGAAAAGCAAAATGGTTTGAGGGAGTGTCAAAAGAGCACAGGAGTAAACCTAAAAGGGCTCTAAGCCTAAAGAACAATGACCTTGCAGTCATGGAAAAGAATGAGATCATGCCCTTTGCAGGGACATGGATGAAGCTGGAAGCCATCATCCTCAGCAAACTAACACAGGAACAGAAAACCAAACAGCACATGTTCTCACTCATAAGTGGGAGTTGAACAATGAGAACACATGGACACAGGGAGGGGAACATCACACACCCGGCGCCTGTCAGTGGGTGGGGGCAAGGAGAGGGAGAGCATTACAACAAATACGTAATGCATGCGGGGCTAAAACCTAGATGACGGGTTGATGGTTCAGCAAACCACCATGGCACATATATACCTATGTAACAAACCTGCACATTCTGCACATGAATCCTCGAACTTAAAAGTAAAATTTAAAAAATAAATAAATAAATAAGAGCAATGACCAAAGCATTCCCCATGAACAACTTGGACTAAAATGTAATGATCGTGTTGGAATATAATCCAAAGAATAAAATAAATGCCCAGGAATCCATCCAATGTAAATGGATAACTGAATACATAAATTAATAAAGAAGTGATCATTTTCCCTTTACATAAAAATTCCAGTCAGTAAGCGCAGAAGAAATTGGGGATATTCTAAAAACACCATTAGAACACTACAGGTACAGTTGTCATAGGCAAGATACATTGGTGAATTTTAAGTAGTGGGCAAATTTTAAGCAGACAGTATTTACAATATTCACAATAGCCAAGACATGGAATCAACCTAAGTGTTCATCAATGGATGAATGAATAAAGAAAAGGTGGTATATGTACACGATGGAACACTGTTTGGCCTGATAAATAAATCCTGTCATTTGTGACAACATGAATAAACCTAGGTGATATTATACAAAGTGAAATAAGTCAGATACAGAAAGACAAATACTGCATGATCTCACTTATACATGAAATCTAAAAAGTTGAATTCATAGAAGCAGAGAGTAGAATAGTGGTTATCAGAGGCTGGCGTGTGGGTAGAACTGAGAAAATGTTGGTCAAAGGTATAAAATTTCAGTTAGATGGGAGGAATAAGTTTAAGAGATCGCTTGTACTTTATTGTGACTACAGTTAATAACAGTATATAATATGCTTGAAAATTGCTGAGAGTAGATTTTAAGTGTGCTAATCATAAAAATATATGAGGTAATATATATTAGTTAGCTTGATTTTTTAGCCATTTCACAATATCTACGTATATCAAAATGTTTTATAAATGATAAATATATATAATTTTTGTTCCTCAATTATAAACAGAGATAAAAAAGTAAAATCATTATAACAGAAACACAGAATACCTTTGATGGACTCATCAGTAGACTAAGCACAGCCAAGGAAAGAATCAATGAGTTTTAAGAAATGTAATAGAAACTTTCAAGACTGAAATGCATAGCGAAAAAGCAATTAAAACAATGGAACAAATTATCCAAGAACTATGGGACAATTGCAAAAGATGTAACATATACATAATGGTAATATGAGAAGGAGAAATAAGAGATATGGGAACAGAGAAAATTTTTGAGATAATAATGGCTGAGAATTCCCCAAATTAATGTCAGACACCAAGCCACAAATCCAGGAAGCTCAGGGAATGCCAAGTAGAATATATGCTGAGAAATCTACATGTAAGCATGTCATACCCAAGCTGCAGAAATTAAAAGACAAGGGGGAAGTATTGAAAGAAGTCAGAGGGTAAAAACCACCTTATCTATTGGGAAGCAAGGATAAAAATTACATCTGACTTTAGAAACCATGCAAGCAAGAAAACAGTGGAGTGAAATATTTAAGGTGCTTATAGGAATAACGAAAAAGCCTAGGATTCCACACTCAGAGTAATTATCTTTCAAAAGTTACAGAGAAATAAATAACTTTTATAGCCAAACAAAAATGAGGGAGTTTGCCTAGCAGGATATGTTTAAAAAGTTGTTCAGAGAGAAGGAAAATGACATAGGTTAAAAACTTTAATCTATATAAAGAAAGGAAGAGTATTAGGGAAGGAATAAATAAAGATGAAATGAAGCCTTTCATTTTTCTTTTTCTTAATGGATCTAACAGATAATAGTTTGTTCAAAGTAATAATAGTAAACAGTGAATTGTGTGGATGTAGCACAGAGATAAATGAAATGAATGACAGCAATTTTATAATGAGTAGGAAGGAGAAACTGTAAACACTCTATTTTAAAACCTTTAAAATGATTTAGCATATTTGGAGACGAACTTGGATTGTTGTAAATGTATGCTGCAAACTCTAGGGCAATCGCTGAAAAACATTTTAAAAGAGTAAAAATTGAGTCAGACAAAATGCTCAACTAAAACCAGATGAGGCAGAAAAAGAATGGGAGACAAAAAAAAAAAGAAAGAAGCAGAAACAAAGATATTTAATAGAAAACAGTAAGAAACTTGTTAGATATTAATCCAATTATATCAGTAATCCCTTTAAATGTCAATGGTCTAAATACATCAATTAAAATAGTGTCCGAGTGAAGAAGAAAATAAGACGCAACTATATGTTGTCTACCAGAAACTCATTTTAACTATAAAAACACATATAGATAAAAGTAATAGAGTAGAGAAACATATGCATGCTAACGCTAATTAAAAGAAAACTGTGGTAGCTATATTAATTTCAGAAGGAACAGACTTCAGAGCAAGGAAAATAATCAGGGATAAAAATGTACATCACATCATGATAAAGGGGTTCCATCACCCAAACATCACAATTCTTAGTGTATGTGCACCTAAAAAGTGTCAAAATACATGAGGCAAAATATTATTAAATTTTGAGGACAAATAGATGGGTCTATTCTTATAGGTGGAGACTTAAATATTCTTCTATCAGTAATTGACAGACCCAGCAGGGAGGAAATCCATAAGAACATGGTTGAACTGAACAACACCATCAATCAACTGGATCTAATTGACACTTACAGAATACTTCATTCAACAACAGCAGAATACACAGTCTCCTCAATTTTACATGCTTACATTCATGAAATAGATCACATTCTGGACTATAAAACATACCTTGACAAATTTAAAAGAGTAAATGAAAACAAAGTGATACAATAACTATATTAGCTTTTCACAGCACTCAATTAATTAGTGGATGCAGGCACTGGGTATCATTAGTTGGTGACATCAAAACAGTGAAAACCAGCCACAATGTGAAAGGCCACAACATAAACAGTGACCTTTCAAAAGGACTGACCCTGAGTTTGACTGAGCCTCTGGATCCCACTGTTATTTGGTAGAAAATAGGGCAGGGATACATGCTGAGCTACATAACCAGTTTGAAATCCACGCATTAGAAGACTCTACAGGTAAAAGAGCCCAGACTCAACAGACAAATTGTATATTAAAAAAAGAAAAGGATGGAGGAGTAATCTCAAGATTGACTGAAAGATAAGTATATACCATAGCAAGCTGGCAAAATAGACATAACTGTACTACAGCGACTACTATCCTCACTTGGTAAGATTATGAAGAAAGGCAAGGAAGTGTCTGTTACAAAAATCAATATAACATAGTTACATTTACAGGAAGCAATGTAATTTGGATGGGGCATGATGGAGGGCTTTTGGGTTTGTTGCAAAGTTCTGTTTTTTGTTTGTTTTTGTTTTTTTTCTGAGACGGAGTCTCACTCTGTCACCCAGGCTGGAGTGCAGTGGCGCGATCTCGGCTCACTGCAAGCTCCGCCTCCCGGGTTCACGCCATTCTCCCGCCTCAGCCTCCTGAGTAGCTGGGACTACAGGTGCCCACCACCATGCCCGGCTAATTTTTTATATTTTTTTAGTAGAGACGGGGTTTCACCATTCACAGGATGGTCTCGATCTCCTGACCTCATGATCCGCCCGCCTTGGCCTCCCAAAGTGCTGGGATTATAGGCGTGAGTCACCGCGCCCGGCCAAAGTTCTGTTTCTTGACCTGGGTAGTTGTGACAAAGACATTTGCCTTATAATCATAATTAACTAATCTCTACATTTGTTTGGGTCTGGTTTTCTGTTTCATCTTAAAACAAAAAGATAAATAATAAATAATGCATACATAAATCCAAGGAAAAAAGTTAATGGGGCATGTGTTCTGGAAATCGAGGGAAGAAAACACATATGGAGCGGGGAACAGAGTCTCCTGTCTCTGTGTTTTTCTGCACAAATCACACCCCACCCCACCCACCACCCAGTGGCCATCAGCAGGGATAGTCCCTCACAATAAGTTTCTCTAGCTTCCAGCTTGTTCAACTGTAGAGGGAGCAATGGTCAGATCCTGCATGTTCTGTCCCTTGTTGAGTGTGTTTTGGGGTCTCTGTGCCTTGTGATATTCTGAATTCTCTCTCTATAATGCTGAATTAATTTTTTTCTCTATTTTTAGCATCTTATTGTTTGCCTATAAGAATTGCCAAGTCATTCAATCTTAAAACCATCAAGTTATTACATCTGAAGATTTCTGAGTCAATCTGAGAAGCATCATTATCTTATCCTTATTCTGTGCTCACTGTGCAAATGCTCGGCTATACCGATTATTGCCTAAGCAGTATCCATTATCTTTAAAAAGGACAAACAAAAATTAATCTCAATTTGGAATTTCAACTGTTCTGATAGATGATATTTCTTCAATGAGCTGGAACTGTAGAATCGAATCCTCTGAGGAAGCCTCAGGTACATGAGTCTCGCAGCTGCAGATACAACCCTCTTCATTCATGGTCAAACAAGTTAAGGCTGGCTCTAGAAATGAACATTCCTTTGCACAATTGCTAGAGGTTCACATTTATGTTTTCTGTGTATTGATCACCAAAATAGAAAATCGGTGCCATCATATCAGAGAATCACTAAGTCATGGGTTTTGAATATCTACAGAATCATGGAATCTGAGATCTGCTGAGTCATGATATTTGAAAATTACGTTTGCACACAAGCCTCGATTTGCATTTTCAGGATATTAAAATCAAAACTGCAGAATCCCATAGTCATTCTCTTTGAAAACTTCAGCTTTGATTCAAACATTCTGCAGCTGCCAATTCATAAATTCTGAGAAATTAAGAGTCAGATTGAGATTGTACAATAGCAGACACATATTCCATTACTAAAGGAAGTCCCTGGAGGGACTAAGATATTCAAAGTGGTGAGAGAAAGAAATACTAATAATTTGTTCTATGTTAGCTACATATCACTACTTCATATAGGTCCTCCACTGTATGTGGTATTATCCCCATGTTAGAACTGAGGAAAGCAAAGTTGAGGATGATTTGATATCAAGTAAGTTCATAGGTTCCAGAGCTAGGACTTCAACTGCACATCTATCAGAAGCCTTGATTGACAATCATGAAATCATGGAGAGAGTGAGAGGATCATGGAAAAGTCAGCCTCTGTCTGGCCAGGGTCCCATCCCAGCTGCCTGCAAAGTCTTCTAATCACCTGTACCCATGCTCCATTCAGGCAGAATAACAAGACCAGACCTTCAGCTAGCTCATAGGGTTTGCAAATGATTTTTGCTGATTTATTTGATGACTAAAGTACCCACACATCCTTACTCTTCCCCTGCTTGAATTCTGGGGCTATTCTGGGAAAGGGTCTAGGAGTGGATCCCAAATTTGTGGGTATGCAAGTTACAATCATCTGCTGATCTTCAGAAACTCCCCAAACCCTGGCCACATCCAGACAAGTTAAACCACAATCTCTGGGGAATGGAACTCCAACATGGGCATTTTTTAAGCCCTTCAGATGATTGCAATGGGAAGAAAAGTTTGAGAACAATGGGCTTATCCTGTTATTCCTGAAAAGCAGTGATTTCATATATGAATCACGTAAGGGAGGTTTTTAAAAAGCACTGAATCCCAGGCCCAGAACAATGGGGTTAGAATCTCTAGGAGGCTGGGCATGGGTGATTAACAAAAGCTCCTCATGCTGATCGGTGAAATTTCTGGAAGGTCAAGGCAGGAGCTCCTTGAATGGTTTAATCCTTTCCATATGGAACTCTGCAAACTAGGTTTCAGGGCTTTCCTCCCTGTTAGTCAAAAAATCATCTGCTTTTGCTTAACTAGTGAGGGTTGGGTTTCTGTCACTTGCAAGTTCTGGAATTGACCAAGCATCCTGGCTTGCCCGGTAGTCTCCTGGTTTCAGCTCTACAAATCCCACATACCAGGAAACCCTTTGGTCCCAGATACATCTGGATGGTTTGTCACTCTACTTGTAATCAAAGTATTATGGTTATTTTCTTACTAGATTTATTGAGATGTCCTCTCTTTATCCTTCTAACCAGTGCTCATAAAACAACCACTACCAAGATTAACTACCTGGAACCCTGAGTACATGCCCCACATATATCCTGAGATGTCATCCCACCCATCACAGGCTCCCATTCTCCCTACACAACTCCTTCTTCACTCCTGATCCTTACACAACACGACCCCTGCACCCTAATTCACTGACATTCCTAAGTCAGAACCACACTCTCAACTTTACCTCCACAAGCCATGTGAGGGGGTACATGGCTACCCCACCATGTGTGGCTCATAGCCATTGAAAACTGAAGCATGAAGCCCTCCCTCTAGCTATATGTTCTTTTTTTTTTTTTTTTTTTGAGACGGAGTCTCGCTCTGTCGCCCAGGCTGGAGTGCAGTGGCATGATCTCGGCTCACTGCAAGCTCTGCCTCCCGGGTTCATGCCATTCTCCTGCCTCAGCCTCCTGAGTAGCTGGGACTACAGGCGCCCACCACCACGCCAAGCTAATTTTTTGTATTTTCAATAGAGACGGGGTTTCACCTTGTTAGCCAGGATGGTCTCGATCTCCTGACCTCGTGATCCACCCACCTCGGCCTCCCAAAGTGCTGGGATTACGGGTGTGAGCCACTGCGCCCAGCCTAGCTATATGTTCTTATGCTTGACTGTGTCTTCTTGATCAAAGCTGGAGTCCACCTTCTAGACAGTTGAGAAATCAAAGCAATGATTCATTGGGGCTTGCTTGCTTCATGGAACAGATTTTCTCACCCCACCTCACGTAAGTGGGAATATATTTTAAGGATTCATTTAAGAAAATGGAAAACAGGAATCTTAACCATGGGGTAGGTCTTCACAAGAACTCAGAGAAAACTGAACAACCAAGCTTCACTTCCAGGTCAGGAAGACCAGGCCGGCCACCAGGGAGACTTGAGTGGGATGGCATCCTGAGTGTTAATGCTGGAGATTGACATCCTCAGCAGTGGGAGTCCCAGGACCTCCACTCCAGGGTTCCGCTGGCAGATCACTCAGCTCTATGCTGTCTGTCCACTCCTCCCTGTGCGGAGCCACCTTCTGTTTGCCTACCAAGGAGCTCATTGCTACCAAACTTCTCACTTCAAATTCCAGACAGGTAGAACCTACCTTGCTCAACTGATATCCCTAACCCTGCCAGGGAAAATCTTTCCATTCCAGACCACACCTTAGACCCCTGTTAGTGTGGTTACCTTCAGCCCATCACCAGACTCTAGTCCATCAGCTATGAACTGGGAGTGGGGGTCATGACATGAGTACCTAAGGCTGTCCTCTTAGAAAGGTCTATATGGGCACAACCGTGGGAAACCCTGTAATGGGCATGCCTAATAAGATAAAATCTTAGCACTGGATGAGTCCATGTGGATAACAGAATGCAACTCTAGCCTTTTAGGGATGAAGATAAGGTGCTATATATTGAAAAGAGTCAAAAATATTTGACCTTGGACCTCAGCTTCTTTTTACCAGTAGACCTTGTGCAATTTACATCACCTCTCTTGATCCTATCTGTAAAATTTCAGATGAGAATGCCTGCCTATTGTGTTTGTCATGAAGATTAATTTTTATAGTCTCCATAAGCACCTGGCATACAATAGGGCCTTCATAACTACTAGTTTCCAGTGTGGACTTAGGCACTTCATTCCCCTGTCTCTTTGTCCTCAGCCATCACGATGCATCATGACACAGCACAACGAGGGCTCTTCAATCAACTCTCAGTTCTACTTTGGATGGAACGCAAGCTGGTTGGATGTGGGCACCCAGCAGCCCTCCATCAATCTCCAGTCTCTTGTGTAATCCAAGCACATGATTTGAGATCCTCTACTTTAACCCCAGATCATCAATCTCAGGGCTAATGGAATATAGAAAAACGCTTTTCCCTGGAAGATTACTAAAAGGTCACAGTCTTGTTTTCCCCTGATAGATTTTCTGTCATATTATATAGTAATGTTCCACTGGGTGGCAAGATTACTGTCGTCCTGAGAATAATGGTCATCTCTGTAGCTGTATTATCCAACTCTCCAACTGGGCTGTGAATTTCTCCACAGATGACTTTTAGTCACTAGCATCCAATTTATAACTGGTTTTGTTTTCTAAAATTACAGATGGACTGGGGGCAGTGGCTCACGCCTGTAATCCCAGCACTTTGGGAAGGTGAAAGGGTGGATCACCTGAGGTCAGGAGTTTGAGACCAGCCTGGTGCCAACATGGTAACACCCCGAATCTACTAAAAAATTACAAAAATTAGGCAGGCGTGGTGGGGCACACCTGTAATCCCAGCTACTTGGGAGGCTGAGACAGGAGAATTGCTTGAACCCAGGAGGCAGAGGTTGCAGTGAGCTGAGATTGTGCCAGCCTGGGTGACAGAGCAAGACTCTGTCTCAAAAAAAAAAAAAATTACAGATGAACAAAATTAACTAGACTATATGCCCCAGTTTATGGCACACTTACCATCAGTCTGTACAAAGTTCCCTTTTTTCTTTCTTTTCTTCCCTCCTTTCTTTCCCTCCCTCCCTCCCTTCCTTCCTCCCTCCCTCCCTTCTCCTCCTATTTCTTGCTCTCTCTTTTCTTTCTCTCCTTCCATCCTTTCCTTCCTTCTTTTCTTTCTGTTAGTTATTTAATCCATCATTCCTTTTCCCATTCCACTCCCTACCCTGACCTTCACAATGTACATACATTCTATCTAAAGAGAATCTTTTCAAACCATTTTTATATATTCATGTAAATATATGTAGGATATAGAGTAGTTGTGTGTTCATGTGATTAATGTAAATAATGCTTTGTTTATTAGTCACACATATGTGGATATATATAAATCTAATTCCTTACATGGACCACTGTTGAGATCTAAACAGTGCAACACACATCCTTATCCATTTCTGTAAGGAAGGCTTTCAGATTAACCCCAGCTCTTTGCTCTCATAACCAAGGCTGAATGCATAATTTTGTAGAGGTCTCTCTGTGCTTACCACTGAGATTTTCTTTGTGGGATACATCCTGGAGAAGAATTCCCAGGTTAGGTGGCATACACATACATAATTTTTAATGATTGCCCTCCAGAATGGCTTCACTGGTTTTCAATTTCCAAAGTAAACAAAGGTTTCCATTTCTCCACATCCTCACTAGGATTTAACATGATCAAATTTTCTAATTTTGCCACTCTGATGTCAGTACGGCAATATGATGTTAGGAGTTGCATGTCTCAGATGGTGAGGTTAAGCATACATGCATCGGTTGGCAGGTATTCTGTCTGGTTTTCCACCTGAAGAGCTTTCTCATGTCCATGGTCCATTCTTTTTCTATTGGATGATTGCCTTTTCCATACTGATTTGCAGAAGTACTTTGTGTGTTTTAGGCACTTAAAATAGTAGACCTCCATCCGTTATCTGTATGTTAACTTTACCTTGGCTACACAGAAATAAATTCTGAGTGAGTGATGTCCATCAATCCTTCCTTTCCGTGTGTGTGATTCTTGGATCTTGTTAAGGAGGATTTATCCAGCTGAGTTCACAAAGGAATTCTGCATCTTCACCCGTTAGTTTAGCAGATTTACTTTCTTTATAGAATTTTAACTTTTTCAATACTATTTTTGTTCACATGTAAGGTAGGAATCCAGTTTCATTTCACTCAGTGGGCACTCAGTCTGTTTATGCAACACCATTTATGCAGTAATAAACAAATTCTTGTGAATGGTAATGCAACCACCATCATACACTGTATCCCTGAATATATGGGTGGCTGTGCCTGCACTGCCCAGGCTATTCTATTACTCCTGTTCTAGTAGCACATTATTTTTTATTACAATAGTTTTGTACTATGTGTTATTTTAAGGTAGGATAACTGTCCAAACTTGTGCTTTATTTTCAGAATTTGTTTAGTAATTTACAAACTTCTAGAGCCATTGTTTCAATTTTCCTTAAAGAAGATTACTATAAAAATGAAGCCTGGTTATTAAAAGGAAGATTATTATGCAGAGTGCTATCTGGCAAAGTTATACCCAAAAATTAAAATGCAAATAAGTGGAATATCAATGAAAGGAATTGACATAAATGTACTAGATTTTTTTAATTATAAGAAACTTCTTTTAAACATGACAGATTAAGCCTATATTTAAAATTTCACTGAAATCAGAATAAAGAGAAAAAGTAAAGCATCAGTGGAAAAGGACAGAGCAAATAAGATGATATGAGATGTTACAAACTTTTAAAAGTGAGAAGCTCCATTAGTTTACTTTCACACTTTTAAAAGTTTGTAACATCTCTTAATGTTACAAACTAAGTCCACGGAAAGCTAAGTGCCTGTGGGGAGTGAGGCCAAGGAATAAAGCAGGATGCTTTTAAAAAGCACGCAGAAAAAAATTCTTGGAAATAAAAAAGTGTGATGGGAAAAACAAAATATTTGATTGAAGGGCCAGAGGATAGAGTGGAATTGTTCTCTCAGAAAGTTAAAGCAAAACAACAAATGAAGTATAAGGGAAAAGAATACCTCTGGAAGGGCCAATATCCAAATAATTACACTTCTGAAAGGCAAGGACAGATAAAAAGGAAGAAAAATGACAATGAAATAATACTAGAAAGTTTCTCAGATTCTCAGGGCATAAGCCTCCAGATTGAAAGGTCCCACTGCACACAGTGTAAGATGTGGAATCGCGTGAAACTAACCACTGTGGTATTTTGGAATATCAGGGGAAGAGGCAACATTATGGATTTTAAAAAGACGAATAAAAAAGGTGACTCGTGGAAATGACCTCAGACAATAAACAATGCCTTGACCTTCCTACTAAAGAAAAGATATATCCAATCCAGACTTCTGTATAACAGTCAGTCAATCTCATATGGGGACACAGTGAAGATGCTTTCAGCTAGGCCTCAAAGCGTGTGATTGCCAATTCTTGTGCACGCTTCCTTAGAAGTATTTGCTGTACTAAAATGTGGCAGTAATAGAAGAAAGAGGTAAGTATGGGACCAAAAAAATTTCAGAAAACAATCAAAGAAGAATCCCCAGATGATGAAAAGAGAAAACTCTAGGATGACAGTTGGACGTTTCAACCACAAGAGCACAAGTAAACCAGATTAAGAATTCCATTTGAAGAGTATCTGGGAAAAAAATGGGATATTATTAATGGCTTGGAAGTACTCTCCTCTTAGAGAGTAAAGTATTTATTTTATATACATTTGAAAAACAATTTGATTTAAACATTTTTGACAACAATTTTATGAACAGCTATAGAGGACTAAATATAAAATTCTTAATGGATACAGAGATACAGTTAGATAGATGAAATAAGTTCCAGCATTTGACAGTACAGTAGAAAAATTATAGTTAACAATAATTTATTACATATTTCAAAATAACTGAAAGATTTATAATACTCCCAACATGCACAAAAAAGATAAATGGTTGGGGTAATGGATGTCCCGATTGCCCTGATTTGATCATTACACATTGTATACAGGTACAAAATGTCACATGTACCTCAAAATATGTCCAACTATTATACACCAAGTTAAAAAAAACTAGATGAAGTAAAAAATTTTATGAAAAAGCTTAAAGTAAAAAATTTGGTACCAAAAGAAAGAAAAATGTTACAAAGGCCAATAGCAAATAAAAATATTTAAATGGTGATCAAATTTTCTCCTTGCCCAGAAGCTGCCAACCCAGACAATATTACATGGGTAAATTCTACCAAACTGTCAAAGAATGTGTAACCCATATTTTAAATAATCTGTTATGGAAAACAGAACTTGAAGATGAGCTTCCAAACTCATTTAATGAAGTCAGTTCATAACCTTGCTACCAAAACAGAGCAAGTAAATTACAAGCAAAGAAAATGACAGACCGATTTCATGGGTGAACATACACTCAGAATCAGAAATGGAATAATGGAGTAGGCTAATTAAACCCGAGTGTATTTTTAAATTAATGAAACAAAATGATTGTGAAGCATTTATACCAGGAAAGCAAGAATGCCATCAGAAATGATTCAACATCATATTATTTTATTATCAGAAAAATCTACCAGTGTAATTTTTTACGAGTGCAGATAAAGAAGAAACTTACGTGGTTTTTTTCTCAATGCATTCTTACAAACATCTTTACAGTTAAATGCTATTTGCATTGGAAACCCATAGAAAAAGAGACTCAATAGACAAGCTGTAAGAACAACAAAGAGAATCTGGAGACATTTCCAGATCCAAGACCAGCATATAAAAATGAATGGTATCCCTTGAAACCAGTAATAACTGTTAAGAAAATGTAATAGACAGTAAGACTCAATTTACAATAGAAACAAAATCTCTAAAATATTTAGTAAAATCCAACAAAGAAATTCATGCAATCTGTATGGAAAAGAAAATCACACTATTAAATAACTGCTCTTTTTTCATTAAACTTTAAAAATGTTGGCATAATTTTAGATTCATATGTAATTGTAAGAAAGAATATGGAGATATGTTGTGTAGCCTTTGCCTAGTTTCTCCCAATGGTAACATCTCAAAAGTATATATTACCCCAATTTTACATGCATGTACTCATTTGTGTGTGTGTGTTTTGTTCTGTGCAATTTTATCACATGCATAAGTTACGCATCCTCCACCACAGTCAAGATACAGGACAGTTCCATCACTACAAGGCTCCCCCATACTGTCCTTTTACAGCCACACCCACCTGTCCACCCCCAACCTCCATCCCTTGCCCTTGGCACCTGCTAATCTGTTCTCTATTTCTATAATTTTGCCATCTAAAGGATAAAATGTAAATGGAATTATACACTATGTACTCTTTTAGGATTGTTTTTTCTTAAACTCAGCATAATTCCCTTAAGATCTGTCCAAGCTGTTTTGTGTTTATCAATGTCATTCTTTTTCATTGCTAAGTAGTCATCCACTGTAGTGATATATCGCAGTTATATTTAACCATTTTCCCATTGATGGATGTTTGGGTTGTTTCCAGTTTGGGGCTATTAAAAGTAAAGTAACTATGAACATGTGTCTACAGGTTTTTGTGTGAACATGAGTTTTCATTTATCTGGGATAGATGCCCAGGAGTGCAAGTGCTGTGTCTGTACTAATCATACATTTACTTTTATAAGAAATTGCCAAACTATTTTCTAGAGTACCTATGCCATTTTACATTACCACCAGCAATAAGGGCTAGTTTTTAATATAACAGCACAATTAAGGGTATGTTAATAAACCTGCAAACATTATGAAAGGGTACAAAGGTAAAAGTGCCTCTTACCTCATTTCCAATCACTACAATTAATGACTGCCAACAGTTATTTAATTGGCTTTTAGAACTGTTTTACCCAAATGAGATAATATTCTATGTTTCATAAACTTTGTTAATATGTAGTTTTTTGTGTATATTCACTTATCTGTGTGTACATATTTATGTCCCTCTTTTAAGGTTACAAAGCATTCTAGTTCATGGGTATGCCATCCTTTATCCACTTGTCTCTTCATGATGGGTGCATTAGGCCATTTTTGCATTGCTATAAACAAATACCTGAGGCGGGATAATTTATGAAGAAAAGAAGTTTATTTGGCTCACAGTTCTGCAGGCTGTACAGGAAGTGTGGTGCTGGCATCTTCTTGGTTTCTGGTGAGGCCTCAGGAAGCTTACAGTCATGGCACAAGGCAAAGGGGAAGCTGGTGTTTCACATGGCAAGGGCAGCAGCTAGAGAGGGAGGGGAGATGCTACACTCTTTTGGATCCTGCAAGAATTCACTCACTATTGTGAAGACAGCATCAAGCCATGAGGGTTTTGCCCGCAGGACCCAAACACCTCTCACCAGGCACCACCTCCAACACTGGGGATTACATTTCAACATGAGATCTAGAGGGGACATACATTCAAACCACATCAATGGGCTTTAGGAAATGTGTTGTTCTTTTTTGTTAATGTAAACAAAACTGTAATAAATATTTTAACATATATCTTAAATGTATATATTACTCACTGTATTCTGTAGGCTAATTTATAAAATTATTGTGTTAAATAGGATGCAAATTCAAATTTTCATGTATATTCTCAATTCCTCTCCTAACAACCGTGCATGTGAGTGCACCTTTTCTTAGGCCCCTCAGACTTTGGCCTTCATCAAAATTCTTCATCTTTCCTTATTTGATGGGCTAAATGTGGAATCTCAACTTCAAGTCAAAGCAGCACTGAAAGAGCCTGTGCTGAAGGCTCCCTCTTCTCTAATCACATAGATAAAATATGCATGGGAATAAAACCTAAAAATGTGTAACCAGGCTGTAAAACAGGAAAAGCATATCTGTGGCTGAGAAATCTAGAAAAGCAGAAGGTGCAGAGCTGATGGAAGCCTCTGGCACCCAGGAAGAATGGGAAGTGAGCCATCTCAGTGCTTAAAATGACCTCCTGCCCCCACAGCCTCCTGCTCTTGAAGGGTGGGGAGAAGCTGCTGCTTCCTGGGACAGCTGGGAAGTGTGAACCCCAATTGGGAGCACTGAACCGTGACATGGACCTGGCCTCTGCTGACCTGGGGATGGTATATGCAATGCCCCCAGGTTCACAGAGAAACACACACTGGACTCAATAAGATGAAATGTGGTTTCGGACTGAGGGTCCAAGGATGTAGATATTGTCAGTTGCAAAATTGTTAGGTATAGTAGAATAGGGAGGAGAGGGACATGGAAAATAAAGTTCCCAAACACATAAGGAATTCTTATGCTAAGAAAGTCTAGCCTCTTCCCACAAAATGCCAATAAATAAAGCATATTTTCACTGAAAAAACTAATGAAAATAATAACATCATAAAAATAGGCAGCAGGGGCAACTAGTTCTGGAACCAAATGGAATGACAGAGTTCTCCCCATTTCTCCAGCTAAGCCCTGAACATTATACAGAAAACAAACATCAGATGCTGAAGGGGAGAGAGAAAAAGGGAGACCAACTAGGGATGTCAAGACAGAAAAATAACTCAGCAGCGAGCTCCCTGGGATTTATTTCTGCCTTGCATATTCCAAACACTGCCAACAGGTACAGACAAAACAAAAAGTCTCAACAAAAGCCTGCTTCCCTTGGCTAAGGACCAGGAAAGAGGCAACCTAGAAACAAAACAGGTGGAAATGAAATAAGATTAAGTGGACTCAAACAATTAAAAATAATAAAAGTGAAAACATATAGACAATGACATTTATAAACCTCAATGGACAGAATGAATACATTTTAGACGATTAATGAATTCAAAGTAAAAGTGAGGATCACCGATCATAGATCATAGTGAGGACCTTCTAAACAGGGAAATTTTTGAAAGTGAAAAGGGCATAGTAATTTCACAGGGACAACATGCAGGGACCAAACTATCCCATGCAAATAGGGAAATACAGTCCACACACCCACCACCAACCTCAGAGTTAGAGACAAATAAAAGTTAATGAAAGGACAGTGATTAGAAAGCAAAGGAAAAGTAAAAGTTTCCAACATAAATTTGGCTGGAATTTCAGAATAAGAAACCAAAGGAAATGGCAGAAAAGCAATTTTACAACAGAGAATTCAGATATTTTGTAAGGTAAGGGAGCTTTCAAATTAAAATTGACTAGGAGTATCAAGTGAGATAAATAAAAACATACACACCAAGGCATGTCTTAGTGAACCCAAAGATGGAAAAAAAAATCTTAAAAGCTTTTGAAGAGAAAAGATAAGGTAGCTACCTAGGAATGACAGAGAATGGTCATAGAGTTTGCAAAAGCAATTGTCAGAACATTGTGAATAATATCTTCAAAAGGACTGAATATAAACAAGTATCAAACGAGAATTTTATATACAGATTAAAAAATTTTTCAAGGGTTTTTGGAAGATGGTACAAGTAGCAGTATTGTTTTTGAATTTCTCTAGGCGCCCCCATGAACACACAGAAATGGAGACAGCAAAACACAAATTCAGTAGCTATCTCCTACGGTAAAGCTAGATAACCCAGTGTCCCTAAGAGCTCAAAACACAAGAGGAGAGATATGAACCACTGACCTCCAAAAGACATGCACGGCTCTGGCAGAAGAGAGAACAATGGTTGTCTGACAGGCCTGAGGCCTTCAGTATGACTGACTAGAAGGCAGGCCTGACTTTAAGGCCCTGCCACCAGTGCCCAGAAGGGGCTCTCACTGGGAAGTTAGTGATTGATCAGCAGTTGCTGTCTAGAAATTCTTAATGAGTTCATCTTTAAACTTGTCCAATAGTACATGGAGCATGCACCAGGGGTTTGGAGACTCAGCACCTGTGTGGCCCTGGGTCTCACTGCCTCCCTGCCTCTGCATAATGTGTTCTCAGCCCTCTGCTTCCCTGCCTCTGCCCAAGGACCTCAGCCACGCTTCATCTCCTGTGGGGACCTGGCACCAGGAGGCCTGGGGTTGGGCATGTGCGCCCCAATGAAGGGAACTGTGGATTGGGGCTTTGGGGCCTATAAAGGTTTGCACTCACCCCACAGGTATTCCTGGGCTCAAGTGAGTACAACATTAAACAGCAAATAAAAGTCACCAGAACAGGTTCGGAGAGAGATCACAGAAAAAAGGGAAAACATTTTTTCTTTCTTAATTTGAACAAGGGTTTTACATTTTTGTTTTACATTGGGTCTCACAAAAATTACATGGCAAGCCCAGTGTGATGGTTGATATTGAGTGTCAACTCGATTGGATTGAAGGATGCAAAGTATTGTTCCTGGGTGTGTCTGCGAGGGTGTTGCCAAAAGAGATTAACATTTGAGTCAGTGCACTGGGAGAGGTGGACCCACCTACCCTCAATCTGCATGGGCACCATCTAATTGGCTGCCAGCACAGCTAGAATAAATCAGGCAGAATTTGGAAGGACTTAGCTTTCTGAGTCTTCTGGCCTTCATCCTTCTCCTGTGCTGGATGCTTCCTGCCCTCCAACATCAGACTCCAAGTTCTTCGGCTTTTCAACTCTTGGACTTACACCAGTGATTTGCCAGGGGCTCTTGGGCCTTCAGCCACAGACTGAAGGCTGCACTGTCGGCTTCCCTACTTTTGAGGTTTTGGGACTAGGACTGGCTTCTTTGCTCCTCAGCTTGCAGACGGCCATTGTGGGATTTCACCTTGTGATCATGTGAATCAATACTCCTTAATAAACTCCCCTTCATATATACATCTATCCTATTAATTCTGTCTCTCTAGGGAACCCTGACTAATATACCCTGCCAATGGCTACTTTCTGGAAATCCCCAGAAGGCCAACTTTTGAAAGCAGCTGGAATTGGGAAGGATTTGCTCATTCTTAAAGCCAGGGACAGCCAGAATATCTCAGAAAGGACAGCAGAGCAGACAAGGTCCTGAAAACGCTCAGTAATAATAAGCAAACCTCCCTTCAGGACAAAGCCCCAAAATAGGAGGAAACTGGAAGGGCAGAGTTCAAATTGAACTGGATGGAGATAACAATAGAGAAAACGGGAATTAAAATCTAGTTATGACTGGGGAGGCGAATAGAGTCAGACTCCTAGAAAGCAAAATGCCATGTTTTCGAACACTTTCTCAAAACAACAGGTCACTTGTGTTAGCAGTCACAATTCAATCAGAGAAGCAGCACCACTAGCATGTCTGTGTGCGTGTTTGTGTGCATGATTGTGTAACAGCAAATCTTAGGAGCTGCTTCACCAGCCTTTGAGAAGCTGTTATATTTGCCTCTGGAGCTGCAGTCTGGAGTTCACACCGAGGCAGTTAGCCAGGAAGGGAAGATGTCTGTACAGTGGGGAAGAGCAACAGCAAGCAGGAACTCACAAGCACATGTTGGAACCTTGTGAGGATGGGATGACATCTGGGTCAGACTTGCTGCCCCCGACATTAGTGGAAGTGGTATCCTGCAGAAGCTGTGGCTCTGTGTCATGGAGCTAAACACATGCTTGGCCCAGAAGATGCAGAAGCTGAAGGAAGATCCAGTGGAGGATGAAGCCCAGCCACTGCTTCACACCAAGAAAGTGAGTCAGCAGATCAGTTCCAATACCTGTAAGCTTCAAAATGGCTGGTGTTCCAGGTCTTCCTTCCAAAGCTCCCCCAAAAACCTCTCTAGTCGAGCCAAAAAAATACAGTGAAGGGAATTCTGAAAAACAGTTTGGCCTTGTCAAATAGGCACATTACAAAACTACCACAGTACTCGAGAGCTGTGATACAAGAAACGCTTCTAAATCATGCCTCCATTCTGAAAATTTAGAACTATAATGTCATGTAAAGATAGTAACAGGGAAATAAATCAAAGGAATGCAAACATTCTATGGAAAAAATGTTAAATGCTTGCCAGAACGACATTTTGATGAAAGGATTAAAAGTGTACCAACAGAGGGATACACTTTGATTGTTTATAGAAATCTATATCCTATAACTTTTAAAGTAATTGTCTAAGAAAATAGATGGAAAAAACAAAAGAACAGTGTAAATTAAATGATAGAATTCAGGGGCCAGGCGTGGTGGCTCACGCCTGTAATCCCAGCACTTTGGGAGGCCAAGGAAGGTGGATCATGAGGTCAGGAGATCGAGACCATCCTGGCTAACACGGTGAAACCCTGTCTCTATTAAAAATACAAAAAATTAACTGGGCATGGTGGTGGGCACCTGTAGTCCCAGCTACTTGGGAGGCTGAGGCAGGAGAATGGCATGAACCCGGGAGGCGGAGCTTGCAGTGAGCCGAGATGGCGCCACCGCACTCCAGCCTGGGCGACAGAGTGAGACTCTGTCTCAAAAAAAAAAAAAAAAAAAAAAAAAAAAAAGATAGAATTCAGGGAAAAATAAACTTAAAAACAGAATCTTATAAATAAACACAACAGAAATGCGAATAATCACAACATAGTGTCTTAAGAAAAGTGGAAAAAGAGGACAGTTTAAAAAAAATTTTTTAAAGATATGCCAAGAATTTGAGTGAAAGTGATAATATAAAAGACTACCACCCCAACCACAAAAAACACAACATACAGGTCCAAGAAGAAATCCCAAATAAGGGAAGAAAACAAGTACTAAGAATGGCATTTTGTTGAAAAAAATATTTTATAAACAAGAGATTTGAAACAATGAAATAATAAATTGCATACCTGGGAAAGTCAACTCAGAACAACCAACACCAAAACACAGTTAAAAAGAAAATGTCCTTTCTCTTTCTTTTTAAATATTTAGGGGAAAAAAAGGAAAAAAGTGATGTAAAACAAAGAGAAAATTAGCTTATCAGACTTTCAAGAGCAGCATTTTGTGCCAGAATAAAAGGAACATTATAAAGATACTCAACTTTTTAAAAAATGAGCTGAGGATTTTATATCCTAACAAACTGACTTTCAAGTATAAAGGGAGCAAACTGTCATCAATATGGAATAACATACAGAATATTTTCCATGGGCCCTTTCTTCATAATGTACTGAGAATGAGGTTTAAATAATGAACATTACTGGAGAGACAGTGGCATAAAGACTGGCTGAGCATTAAATATATATTTCCATGGAGAGCTAAGACGAAATCTGCGATATGAGGGAGAGTAGAGCATGTAATAGTTATATACTTTGACAATGGGTGGAAAGCAGAATTTTCTAAAAAGGGAAAGAGAAAATGGAAAAAGCATATGCAAAACAATTTTTAAATGCTTCTCTATAATCATGTTGGTGACAATGTTGCTATTGCTACTCTCCTTATGTTTTGCTTGAAATATGAGATGAAGAAAATAAGCAATACATGTGTTATTTGAATCCCCAGGGCCCTTCAGAACCAAGACTTTTAGAAGCTGCAAGTGTGAAATAGAAAAGATTAAGTAAGCACTCTGAAATCCTAAATTTGAACTCATAGGATATTTTTCATAGATAGATAGGTATCCTAAATCTGTCCACTGACGAGGCCCAAAAATAACATTTGCAACTAAAAGGTACCAGAGTTTCTTAGAGAAATAGTTGAAATAGCTAATTCTAGGTCTGGGGTGGGAAATATAGAAAATAAACAGAGGAGCTCAGAATATCATCGTACCACAGAGAGCAAGGGCACCAGCCAAGACCAGCAGGATTGCGCTAAAGGAACTTGGGAGTCAACCTGTAGAACAGGCACTCACCAAACCATGGGGCAACTTGAGGATCAGTAAGGATAACGACCGTAATCAAAACACACCAAACAGGGTTCTCTGTGAGCTCATAATGATACACTGTATTAGTCCAGATCCACCAATATAGAATTAAATGTGAAAGGATTTTATTGGAGGAAAAGACCCTGTGGGAAAAAAGTAGGGCGCATGCTAGAGAAGTCTGGAGATCTATCAGACTGCAATGTGTATCTGATCCCAAGTGAAGGAGGGAGGGAGGAAACATGGCATTGAAGAGTCTTGGACTGCCAGGAAGAAAGGTTCAGCAGGAGCATTGAGAGCCCTTGAGCCCAAGTTGGTTGTCAGCAGAGTTCAGCATCTCTTAGGAACAGTTTTCCTGGGAACAAGAAGCAGGATGTTGTGAGACATGGCCTATCACAAATACTGGGATGGACTTTGTAGCTCCATAGCTGCGACTCTTGTTGAATTATGCTATCTGAAGTTGGCAGTTGGCATGGACACCTGGACACACACACACACACCCCTACCTGATTAGTTAACTTTATAGGACACTAAGGGACCAGGTATCTGTGTTAAAATCTCATAAATAAAGGGAACATGTATACTTCCTTTCCTGTGCAAACTACCACTCAGAAGCTAATGGCAGATGTGCGGATATCTTTAAAGGAAGAGGGAATGATAGAACTGGAGCATTGCCACTTTGCAACACCTACAAATCAAACAAATCTAAGTACTAGCTTCTAAGAATCTATTGCTACTAATTACAAAAAAAGAAAGATAAGGCCAGGCATAGTGGCTCATGCCTGTAATCCTAGCACTTTGGGAGGCCAAGGTGGGCAGATCACCTGAGATCAGGAGTTTGAGATTGCCTGGCCAACATGGTGAAACCTCATCTCTACCAAAAATACAAAAATTAGCCGGGGATGGTGACGGGTGCCCATAATCCCAGTTACTTGGGAGGCTGAGGCAGGAGAATCACTTGAACCCAGGAGGCGGAGGCTGCAGTGAGCCAAGATCGTGCCATTGCACTCCAGCCTGGGCAACGAGAGCGAAACTCCGTCTCAAAAAAAAGAAAGAAAGAAAGATAAGTATATATTGTGTGCCTCTTGACAATGAACACAATGAACACAACAGCACCGATGGTGTAATCTTCCTCCCCAAAGTGAAATCTGAATCAGATTAAGTTTATAGATTCAACTACTAATCTGCAGGAAATCTAGAGGATAAATGAAACATTAAACTCTACCATGGGAATGCAATCAGCAGAATCAGCAGAATCTTGACTCTACAGGATTGGTTTCTAAAATGAAAAAAAAATCTTTCAGTTTAGGAAGATACAGAGAGAAATTTTTAAAAATCAGGCTAACCTAAACTCACTGTTTAGGGCTCCTCAACTAGATAATGAAATAATAATAAAAAGTAATAAGGGTATTTCCAGAAAAGCTAGAGCAGGAGTTAGTCTTGTTAGGGGAGGATGGTGCTTGTCTTGGGAAGGTGGCCTGAACCTTCTGTGGTTGCTGCCAAGTTCTCTCTAATTTATGGGTGGAGTTAAAGGGACATTTATTTTGTAATAACTCATCAAGTGGTACACTTGGTCTAAACTGCTTTCCGTTTTCCTTTATTCTGACAAAAAATACACAATTCAAATGGAAAATAAAGACATTTATAGACATACGATGGCAGAGAACTTACCATATAAAGAGACTCACTAAAAAGTAAAGATATATGTTTATAGAAAGAGTAAACGTAGGGGGAAAGAGAGTGAATTAAGAAACCATATGTTGATAAAATTAATTAACTATGCCTATATAAATTATACTGGTAATCTTAAGTAAATAGCAGATATAAAAAGTAACTTTCCAGCTGGGTGCGGTGCCTCACACCTGTAATCCTAACACTTTGGGAGGCCAAGGTGGGTGGATGGCCTGAGCTCAGGAGTTTGAAACCAGCCTGGGCAACACGGTGAAACCCGCCTCTAGTAAAATACAAAAAATTAGCCGGCACCTTGGCGTGCACCTGTAATCCCAGGTACTCGGGAGGCTAAGGCAGGAGAAATGCTAGAACCTGGGAGGTGGAGGTTTAAGTGAGCCGAGATCACGCCACTGCATTTTAGCCCAGGTGACAGAGTGAGACTCCATCTCAAAAAAAAAAAAAAAAAACGGAAAAGTAACTTTCCAGATCTAGTTCCAGGGAAGATGGGGTAAACACACCCTTTCCTACTGAATACAACCTATAAAACCTGAACAGAATTCATAGGCAGCAATTTGGGAACTCTGCAAAATAAACATCAGTAGGCAGATCAAAGGAAGAAACCATCAGAATACCATCAAAATACACATGAACTGCTGGCGAGTTTAATCTTTTTTTCCTTGCGTTATTTCCCAGTCTGAATTCAACGCAGTTAGAAAACCAGAACTAAGCACTGAGGTGCGGAAATAGAAACAACAGAAACTCTCTAGCTCAGGCTCAAAGACCAGAAAAGGGAAATGTAGAGAAAGAGAGAGAAATCCCCCATTTTTTCTCCCCATTTCCTCAGTTCTTGCACCCTAGCCCCAGGCAATTGTATAATGTGGGTAGCAGGAAGAGCAAAGACAGCCAGCAATGGAAAAACTGAAGGAGTTAAGTATCTGAGAGAGGGAATCTCCCTCTAGCATTTGGTGTGGCTATAGTTCCAAGAGGGTAGAGTCAATCCCAGGTGTTTCCATTTTTCTTTCTGTTCTGCACTGTATGGGCCCGGTATAGACTGTAATTATGGAACAGAGCAGTTTTTGGTCAGAGGACTGAAAAAGAGAAGGTCAGGAAACCAGAAAGTACTGGAGAGATAGCAGAGCGCAAGCTTGGGAAAGTGACCCCATAACACTGTTTATCAGCTCAAGGACTCACCTCTGACCTGTACATTCACAGTCCTGATCATAATCAGCACACTAAAGACTCTGAGAACTGAGATAGCCAGTAGACCTTTGCTCATTTTCCTAACTGACCACTAAGTAAGTGGTACAGGTCTAGGACAAATGTGAATATTACTGAAAGGCTTCGAAAACTGGCCTGATATGGGAACCACAGCCTACAGAAGGCTAAAACATAAATAGTAACACTTTTTATAGGATTTGAACAAAATTTAAACAAGAAGGGGCTCACAACATAATATTCAAAATGTGCAGTATAAAATCCAAAATTATATTGCATTTGAAGAATAAAACAAAAAAACCTTCAACTTTCATTAGAAAAGACAAGCAACAGACATCAATGATGAGATGTTGGCATTATCTAACACATCTTCAAAGTGGTATTAAAAAGTGCTCAGATAAGCAAACTTCTGAAACTTATGACTTGATTTTTCTGTTCATATGTTTCCATGGAAAAAATTACAAAATGAAGCCTTCTGACAGGGAAATATCAAGTTAGATGACTTCCCTGGTTAATTTTTCTAATAACTTTTGGAGAAAATATATACATAACACAAAGCTTACACACTTTCAGAATATAAAAAATGGGGAATAATTCCCAACTCATTTTATGAGGCCAGCATAATCTTGGTACCAAAATCTTACAAGCTTATTATTAAAATAAGAAAATATGAGGCATGTTTCCTTTGATAAAGATAAATGTAAAGTTCTAAGGAGATAATTGTGAAACAAATTCAACAATACTTTTAAAAATAATAACCAAATGTGTTACTTTTCAGAATTGCAAAATGGGAAGGAATGGGTAAACAGTGTGTCTGTAACTCATTCCTCCAGCCTCTGAGACAGTTTTAATTGTGACCCAAACTCCTAGCAAAGGACGGCTGATGAAACACACCAGCTACACCGTAAGTGAAACTTCAGCAAGGGTTGCTAGGTACAGACTATGGATCCAGGAGCACTTTCAGGACAAAACACCTAGCTTGTCTATAATATTTGTTATAAATAGATCTGCAATTTACGAGCTGCAGTTCTGCATTGGACAATAGAAGTTAGTCATGTAGCCAGTACAGGGCTGCCTGCCTTGGAGGATATAAAAGCTGAGTGATAACTAAACCCAGTTGCTTTCTTGCACTAACTTGTCCTCTATGCAGTTTGCACTCCTCACTCTGAAGGCAAAATTCACTCTGAGTAGAAAAAGGAGACACAGAGAGCTGAGTGTGAAGAGCTCAGGGTCTCCCAGATATTGAAGTGGTGCATGTTGCTGCTCTTGCTTGCATCTTTTACTAATCATTAGTAAAGCTTGGTGCTGAACAAGACTTGAATTTCATATAAATCTGATCAATAATGTAGATCTTTGTATTGTGTGTAGGGTTAACTCAACAATAAAAAGTCATTGCAATTCAAAATACTAATGAAAAAAGGATAAAAACAATCTCATCTTAATAGACACTTTACAAAGATGTAACTCTACCCTCATTTGTGATTTTTAAGGATTGTTATCTGAGTAGGAATAGAAGGGAATTTCCTCCTTGTGAAAAGGTTTATCTAAAAAATAAAATAACAAAACAGAACAACAAAAAACTATAGCTAACATTTTACTTAGTGGCTGTTGTGGGTTGAATTATGTCTCCAACAAAAGATATGTTGAAATCCTAGCCCCTAATACCTATGAATGTGACTTTATTTAGAAATAGGGTCTTTGCAGATGCAATCAAATTAAGATGAGGACATTAAGTTGGGGCCTAATCCAATATGACTGGTGTCCTTATAAGAAGAGGGAAATTTGAACACAGACACACAGGGAGAACAACAATGGAAGATGAAGGCAGAGATGGGAGAGACATAGCTGCCAGCCAACAAACATCCATGATGGCCAACCACCACCAGAAACTGTGAAGAGACGAGGAAAGTTCTCCCCAGAGTCTCAGCAGGGGCATGCTGACATCATGATTTCAGACTCCTAGCCTCCAGAACTGTAAGACAATACATTTATATGTTTTAAGCCACCGAGTTTTCAGTACTTTGTTATGGAAGTGCTAGGAAACGAATATAGTGGTGAATTATTGAAGGCCTTCTGCCTGAGACCAGAAATGAGACAAAGCAGTATGCTATGACTTCTACTCAGTATTGAATTTGATGGTCCCAGCTAGTGTCATAGTGAGTGAAACAGGCCAAGAAAAAGAAATAGATGAATAAGGATTGGGACGGATAATCTACAGAAAAACCATTATAATCAATAGGAGAGTTTAGAACTTCACTGGATAAAAGACCAATATGCAAATATCATGTATATTTCTATACATGCAACAGTTTTAAAATTAAATGTAAAAAATCTGTCATTTTAATAGCATCAAAAGACACCAATGTCTATGAATAATTCTTATGAAAGTGTGCCAAAATACCTGTGTTGAAGACTACAAAATATTATTGTGAGAAATTAAACAAGATCTAAATAAGTGGAAGAAAACATCACGTTTGTATATTACAGGACTCAGTAAAGACATCAATCCTTCCCAAGTTGATCTAAAAATTCTATAGAATCCCAGTAAAGTTAATATAAAATAAATTATTTTATTCTATTAAAATGAAAAGGGTCAAGAATATTCAAGACAATCTTGAAGAAATACTAAAAAGGAGGAAAATTAACACTACCATGTATAAAGAGCTACTATAATGCTATAGTCATTAAGAGAGTGTGATATTGGTGCAAGTCTAAGCAAATAGACTGGACCCACATATATACACTGTTATGTGATGCACAAAGGTGACATGGCAATGCAGGAAGAAAGATTACTTTTTCATTAAGTGGTATAGAGTCAATTTAATATTCATATAAGACAATGAATCCCTATTCCTACCATACTTCATAGCATACACAAAATTTAATTCTAGATGGGTGACAAATATCAACATGAAAGGTAAGACCATAAAACTCTAGGAAGACATAGGATGTTACCTTCACGACCTTGGGGTAGACAAAGAGATCTAAAGCACAACACAAAAAATGCAAACTGTGATTGGAAGCGTTGATAAATTGGACTACACTGAGATTAAGAATATCTATTCACCAAAAGATACCATTAAGAAAGTTAAATGAAGCCAGAGTTCTAAAAATTATGTTCAATATCAATGTCTGACAAAGGACTCCTTCTGAATGAAGAATTAATTCCTACAAATAAATAAGAAAAAGGCAGACAACACAATAGAAAAATGGACAAAAAACCCTGAAAAATCAGTTCACAAAGGATATCCAAAATAACAATAAACACATGAAAAGCTGCTCCACTTCTTTAGTCATCAGGGAAATGCAAATTAAAAGCCACATTGAGATCAAATTACCCATAAGCCAAAAAAATCTGAAATTAAGTCAAAGACAAGTGGATGAATTATGTGAGGCAACTAGATCACTCATACATTGTGCTGGGAGTGTAATTAGAACAAATATTTTGAGAGACTGACAATATCTAAGAATAGTATATATCTAGAAAAAACTGTGCTGTTTTGGAAACAGAAAAGCACAATTTGAAGTAAATCATCGGTCAAAGAAGAAATCACAAAGAAGTTAGAAAATATTTTGAACTGGAGGTTATGAATATAGAACATATCAAAATTAGGAGGAGGCAACTAAAGTAGTGTTCAGATGGAAATTTGCATATTTAAATGCTTACATTTGAAATGAATCTAAAATCAGCAACCTCAGTTTACACTTCAAGAAGTTTGTAAAAAATGAGCAAATTAAACCCCAAATAAGTAGAAGGTAATAAGAAACACAAGAATAGAAATCACTGAAATTTCAAAAAAAAAAATTGAGAAAAAGCAAAAAGTTGTACCATGAAAAGATTAGTAATATCGTTAAACCTTAGTAAGTGTAATCAAGAACAAACAGGAGAAAACACAAATTCCTTGAAACAGTAATGAAGAGGAGGTATCACCACATAGCCTATATATATACATAAGGTAATAAAGGCACATAATAAACAACTTTATGTCAATAAATGCAATAACTTAAATGAAATAAACACATTTGTAAAAAAAAATACAATTTAGTAAGCTTTTCCCAAGAAGAAATAGAAACTGAATTGTACTACATATCTATTAAAAATTGGGTTAACGTTAAGAAAATAATCTTTCCACAAAAACTCCAGACACAGATAGTTCCACTAGTTAGTTTCATCAAACATTTAAGAAACAAATTATATCTTGCACAAACTATTTCAGAAAGTAGAGGAGGAGGAAGCATAAGATCTTCTACCAAAATTAGATGATAAAATTACAAGAAATGAAAATGATGGAGCAATATCCTTCATGGATATACATAGAAAATTCTTTTAAAATCTACTAACAAATTAAATTCAGCAGTAATCAAATCCATGACCAAGTGAATTTGTGGTTTGATGTCTTTTGTAAATATTGAAAAGTTCTCAGAATTTATTCTTTGAATAGTGCTTTTGTCTTACATTCACTCTCCATTTAATGAAAGGATCTTTTATATCTGAAAGACCTGGGGAGGAAGGTAGCCACCCAGCAAAGTCATCTGAACTTTTTGATTGTGGTGTGAGGGAGAAAGAAACTTTCATTGTGGTAAGCCAATGAGAATTGAGGATTATCACTGCAATGGACATCACCCACTATGATAACTAGCTTTACCATTTTAAACGTACAAATTTTATTTATTTTTATTATTTTTATTTATTTATTTATTTTGAGATGGAGTCTCGCTCTGTTGCCCTGCTAGTGTGCAATGGCATGATCTGGGCTCACCACAACCTCTGCCTCCCGGGTTCAAGCGATTCTCCTGCCTCAGCCTCCCGAGTAGCTGGGATTACAAGTGCCTGCCACCATGCCCGATTAATATTTGTATTTTCAGTAGAGACGGGGTTTGGCCACGTTGGCCAGGTTGGTCTCGAACTCGTGACCTCAGGTGATCCACCTGCCTCAGCCTCCCAAAGTGGTGGGATTACAGGTGTGAGCCACCCGGCCACAAATTTTATAGTTTATTTTTCAGTGTCCTATTATCTCAAATTGTGAGGCACACATTTTCCTGTTTACTCTGCCTACTGACTTTCCCTAATTGACGATGGCCTAGGATGATGTAGAGTTTGTTTCCTTGAATGGTTTATATTTTTTATTTTGAACTGATTTTCATGGATATTGCGATTTGGGGGCATTTTTTGGAGTCCCATGTGTGTAAAGTTACTAAATCTTCCTCCAGAGGAATTCTTGAATTCTAAACCATATAATACACATTTGGACTCCACACCTAAGCCTAATGCACTTTTTGGTTTTTAAATGTGTAATTATCTTTTTCCCCCATCCGGAGCCCAAGCAGAAAACATGCTTCCTTCCACTTCCCTGGCTAATGGTTGAGGTTTCCTGGTCTTTTTTACACTGGAAAGGAGATTACACCAATTTCTGGATTTATGTGAATATCTCAGTTCCAGTTCCCCACCTCTCATAGGCCCCAAGCCCAAGGTCACCTTACCTCCTGAGAGTGTGTTAAAATTTCCCTCTTACCCATAGAATCTATATTTTTGGTATGCCCAGGCATGTATTCACATCCTGCTATGTTTTATTTGCTGTTTTTTTTTTGTTTTTTTTTGTTTTTTTTTTTTTTGCTTTGGGAACGGGAGTGAGTGTAGAACCTATACAGTCCCGTCAGCTCTATTCCAAGAATGTTCTGCTCTTTTCTTCGTTTCACAAATGAAAAACCTGAGTCCCATAGATGGGAGTCAATACAGCCAAACTCACAGACCTACCTATGGCACAGGGGAGACTGAAGCTTATTTTCCAACTTCCAGCAGTCCTACATTGTAAGCTGAGTGAGTGGACTGCGCTTGCAGGTCCTCCAGGTGCCTAGCGAGAACAGAGGACAAATAAATATTTACGAATTGCTTGTCTCACCTGAAAATGGTTTATTTCTAGGTTTCTGATATTATGGGGTGCAATGGCGGTAAAGAAGCAGTTCTGGTTTCAGGAATGTGATCCTGATAGCCATACTCCAGAAAAAATCAATAAATTCCCTTGGCCCCATGGGCTCATGCTCTTCTAGAAGGGAAGACAGGGCTCTTAGGTACTTTCAGCGCTCGTAGAAGAGTGTTGTTACAGTCCCATGACCAGTGCAGGGGATGTGCCACTGAGAATCTTTTCACTGATGCTTCATGGGCTTTCTCTATTCTGCTACTGGGTTTTATTTCCCTTCTTCTAATTCTCCCTTTACCAACAACTAATCCCCTGTAGATAATTAATTCATCAAGTGCCTGCTCTGTGATGTCCGGACTGCTAGAAGTGGTAGGGGGACTCAAGAGCCAGATGAAGCTAAGGGCACGCCGGTCTGCTCTCCAGGGACCCCTGGCGTCCCTTTCTCCTGGCAGAATGACTGCTATCCTTTGAGGTGAATCCAGTTCAGCTGTCACCTCTTCTATTAACCACTCTCCAAAAACAGCTAATCCTTCTTCTAGGCTCTTACCGCAGTTATGAAAGCCTATGCTGACCCTTTGTTTAAACATGTGTACATTAACAGTAATACACTTAAGACACTTCATGGCAAGGGCAATATACTGCGTTATTCTTCCAAATCAAATAGTTGGGCTCAGTCCCCCATTCCTGCTACTGGGGTACAGTCAAGCTCAGTCACCTTTTGGTGAGCCTTTCCCTAGTTCTTGGAGTCTTAAAAGAATCCCGTGGTTTTCGGCAGTTCAGAAACCCAGGCATTGCCGCTGCGTGGTCCACGGGAGTTGCTCTGGTGGAGCTCGGATGCCCGGGGGCTGCAGGAAAGAAGGTGGCAGCGCCCCCTACGCGGACGCAGGGCGCTGCTGTGCTCAGCAGAAGGGAGCAAATGGGATGGAGCTTCAGCCACCCTGGAAGCCGCCCCTTGGCGCCTTCCTCCCTCCCTTCCTCTTTCCAAAATCAAGCCCCCTCTTCAACATCAAGAACTCTCCGCACTCCCTGGACCTCTCAGAGCCTCTCCTCATTTACTCTTTCCAATGCGCTGGCTCAAAAGAGCCTAGATAAGAACACCAAGTTCTGGCTGTCCTTCCAGCAAAGAGTTAGGAGTTAACTTTTCAATCTTTTTTAATCTCCTTTAAAAAAGAATGAGCCATACATTAGGGTAACCACTGGGAATCCCATCACACACATTGGCGGCATCTCTCCTCCCCGACAGGGTGCCTCCAGCACTTCAGATCCCAGCCGAGAGTCTGGCTGCTGGCGCCCAGCAAACGGTGCGGAAAGCAAACCGGGGCTCGCGGAAAGCGGGAGGAGGGGGGCTTCCTCGGGTCTGTTTTGTCTGGTTGGCAAGACTTCCGAAGCCTGGTTCCCTATAGCTGCCACCCGGTCGCTGGCGTGGAGGAGGGAGTCCGGGAAGACTGGACCCCAGAATTGTCCCGGCTTTCTCCCGAGTGCCCAGCGCAGCTTCTGGCTGAGAGCGGGAGCGGGCTGAGTGGGGACAAAGAACGCAAGGGAGAGGTAGAGCCTGGCCTTGGGCAGCCCCTGGCCTGGCCAGAGGCGCGAGGCCGAGAGCCCGCTCGGTGGAGACTGGGGGTGGAGGTGCCCGGAGCGTACCCAGCGCCGGGAGTACCTCCCGCTCACACCTCGGGCTGCAGTTCCCTGGGTGGCCGCCGAGACGCTGGCCCGGGCTGGAGGGATGGGGGGGCGGGGACGGGGGCGGGGGCGGGGCTCGTCACGTGGAGAGGCGCGCGGGGGCGGGCGGGGCGGGGGCGCGCGCCCGGCTCCTTAAAGGCGCGCGAGCCGAGCGGCGAGGTGCCTCTGTGGCCGCAGGCGCAGGCCCGGGCGACAGCCGAGACGTGGAGCGCGCCGGCTCGCTGCAGCTCCGGGACTCAACATGCGCTGCTCGCCGGGAGGCGTCTGGCTGGCGCTGGCCGCGTCGCTCCTGCACGGTAAAGCCACTGCCTCCCCGCCCTCCACTCCTCCGTGGGATCCCGGGCACATCCCGGGCGCCTCTGTGCGCCCCGCGCCTGGGCCAGGTTTGGGATCTCCCCGCCGCCGGGGAGGGGCAGCGGGGGCGCTGCGGGGGCTGCTTGTCTGGGCTGCACCGGGTGGGCGGCGGGGGACGCCGGCAGGAGGGAGTCGGGGGTACCCCCGCCGGCCTGCCCTGAGCCCCCTGCCCGGGTCTTCTCTCCTTAAGTGTCCCTGCAAGGCGAGTTCCAGAGGAAGCTTTACAAGGAGCTGGTCAAGAACTACAATCCCTTGGAGAGGCCCGTGGCCAATGACTCGCAACCACTCACCGTCTACTTCTCCCTGAGCCTCCTGCAGATCATGGACGTGGTGAGTCCCGCCTGGCTACAGGGCTGCCCTCTCCCCTTCCTGGGCTCCGAGGGGCTTTTTAGACAGCGTCGGGCGGCCAGGCGGTGGAGCTCGGCTGGGGCACTCTAGTTGGCCCCAAGCTAGGCAGGGCCATGCTCTGAGTCTGTCCCCAGCCTGCCCTCTCCTGAGTGTCTCATTTCTCGGTTTCCCCTCCAGCCAAGGAGGGACCTGGTAAAGCTTATTCCATCACCCTGGCCACCTGTGCATGGTTACTTGGGTCCCACCTTTCTCTCAGGTTAGAAACTCAAGCATCCTGAGCTGGGACTCAGTAGCAAGAACAGGTGAAGTTCACTTTTTAATCTCCCTTATGGTGTAAGTGTTGACTTGCATTCCAGCATTGTCAATTTAGCCACTTCTAGACTTTTCTGCCGCCTATGGTATGTAACTTCTTTGGTGGGGGCCTGGCCCTGAGCTTTGCAGCTGGCGAATCTATCCAGGCAGAGGGCAAGAGGGCCAGCTGTGAACTTTCACTGTGACCCCATCTTAGGAATGGGCATGCTTTGCCTTCCTGGTGAGGACAGGTACTGGGAGTCCTGCTCCGAGGACTCAGGGTTCCCCGTCAGGAATACATGTGTCTGTCCCTCCAGGCAGCTGCCATCAGTTCCGTGGGTCTCTTGCCTTGCAGCCTTGCTAGTGCCCACTTCAGTTAGCCAATCTGTGTAAACTTGCCTATTGTTCCTCTATGCTGCTTTGGATATTCAATATTCATGGTATATTCTCCATACAATACAAATACTTCACACAAGTGTTTAATTCATTATAAGTGGGTTTGGTGTCTTGTCTATACAGAGTATCGGATTCTATTGTGGAGCACCCTGGAGTGTGGCAGGGTGGGGCACAGGGATAATAATGTTCATTGGGAGGGAGAGCATGATGGGAAAGAGGTGAGAGAATAGCCACAATTACTGGTTAAAAAAGAAATAGTGCTAAGAGCTACCTGGCAAAGTGGAAAAAGGTAAGAGGTGATATTTCATAATCCTACAAATAAACAGTTACCCGCACTATCATGTTGATGAATGGTATATCACTTAACCTAGTTAAAATTGCCATCATACATTGCCTCCTTTCCAACGCTACACTCGCCTCAAATGTGTTCTTCCTCCTACAGACAGAATCATGCTTTAAAATATTGAATGTATATGTGATGATGTGGAAAAGTTATCATGAGAAGAGCTGTAGGGGAAGGCAGGTTCAGTCTCATGTGTTGCAGAGCAGCAAAAGTTGCTGTTTATGGAGCAGTTCCTCAGTTGCTTTAAAGAGCTCAGGATTTGTACTTGGGATCTTCGGTGGGTTCTGGCTGTGTTGGTTTCTGGATGGCTGCTGTTAGGTAAGTTTCTTAAGCATCTTGAGCCTTGGCTTTCCGGCTAATAAAATGCACACTGTCAGTCATTGTGATCAACTAAAGAATATGGAAACAACTTGAAGAGACCTTAAAGCTAGATATGTGATTATGGTCATTTTCATGCAGAAACCACATGAAAAAGGACCAGGCAGCAGAGCTAACACACCCCGCAAGTGGTGTGTGACAGGGTGAGAAAGGGACAGTAGCCCCCTCTTCCCCCATTTGTCCAGGGTCAACTCCAGCCAGGCTGTCACACTGTTTGTGTCTGCTCCACAGCTGTCTCTCTTGGAGTGGGTGACCCTGTATTGCCTGGATGGGGGTGATGGTGTAGTAGCCCCTCAGTAGAGGAACAGGAGGAAGTCAGTAGAACAGGCTCCTGAGGTTGCAAAGGCTGCGGCAGCACCTTTTGGAGAAGAGACCACTCGCGGAGAAGCTGCAGGCTTTCTTCTGGGAACTTCTTCTTTAAGAGACTCTTAAGAAACCAAGTTATTATGAGGAGCTCTGAGTCTTAGGAGAAGTTTAGGCATAAGTTAGTGTTATACTACATGAACATTTAAAATAACTTTTGTCATGTTAGAAAATTACAAAAATAGCACATTGGCACTTTGTGTCAATGACATTCCAGTGTCCTTAGGAAATGCATGTGAAGAAGGCTGTCAGCAGCCAGAGGTCATGGGAAGGGGGCGGGAGAAAGTTTATCTCTCACCTTAGCCGTGGTATTGGCTGTGAACACATTGAACTTCCCAGCCAGGCAATGCTATGTTCATGGAGTGGCCTTGAACAAACTCACTTACCTTTCTAAGCTCTGTTTTCTCATGTGTTAAATGAGAATAATAATACCTGCTTCAGAGGGTTTTGAGAGGATTAAATGAGAGAAAGTGCTTGCCCACACTGGTGATTCACTGAAGGTCTGCTCCATCTTAATTATGTAACTACTCAACTCAGAGGTCAAGAAGTCCATGCCTAGAAGGGTGTGGTCACATGCCCAAGGTCACTCTGTGATTAGAGGTAGGGCTATGAGGAAAACCAACATCGGACAAGTCCTTTGTCTTTCATCTGCTGCTTCCTTTAGACTTGGTAACTTCGGCAGAACAAAGTCATTTAATTTATTTAAACTGGGTGAATTGTAACTAATTTAATGTGACTTTCCTGAGATCCTGGATGAAGCCGAAGTCTCTATCAGACATAACAAAATATGCAAACATTTGTATTCCAGCCTTACTTGGCTCTGCCTGGTTTTTGAAGCAGAGCCAGGTCTCTCCAGCTGAAATCTCAGCGCTCTGGACAGAGACACAATGGTTCTCATAAAGGCTTCGTGTGGCAAAATCTTGGCTGGTATAGATTCTCTTTACACATTTGTTGCCCATTTTAACTGGACTGTTCTAGAGACCATAGTAGTTGGTTTTCCTACTCCCAAATATTGTTATTGATTGCTTTTGTTTGTCAGCAGAGATTCCTGACTGGAGTGATAGGAAGACACCATATGATGTTACATATTTGATTTTTGTGAAAGATCATTTACTCTTTAATCAATTTATTCCACACATGCTATTGAGCTCCTGTTGTAGACTTTGACAAATTCTGAGAATTAACAGAAAGATGAGGGATTATTTTTCCTTTCAGAGATCTCATGAGCTGGCTAGGGAGATTAAAAAGTAAATCCAAAATTACATGTGATGAAATTTAACATAAATATCTATACAAAGTGCTAGAAAACATTGTGTTCAACTAGAGCAGCTGAGAGTGGCTTCAAAGAGATGGTGGTTAGAGTTCTAAAGATGAGAAGGAGTTTGCCACTGAAAGTAGGAAATCTTTTCCAGGTTGAGGAAAGACTGAAAGTGCAGTGGAGGACAGCTCACTTTCAACAAGGTGTGTTTTATGGGACACTGGCAACCTGTTGATCTTTACTACAGGTTTTGCTGCAAGACTTCTCAGAAAATTTATGCTATGTTTTTTGAGACATTCTAAAAGACCAATATAGTACTGACCAAACTACTGATAGTTTTATAGACCCTTTTGTAAGAATTATATGCTCTAGAAGCACACCTTACAAGGGGGAGGCTATGATTTTTCTTTGGTAGGAGGTGCTAGATGAGTGTGGGGACAGTAAGGTTGCAGTGTGTGAGGCGTCCTGAGTTCCTCTGCAAGTTTGCATTTCACCTGGCCCTAGTCTAGGCATCTCTGAGGGCATGAGGAGGCAGTGTGCCAGGGGTTTTGTGAAGCTGTAAGACCAGCCTGCCATAGCATATTTTCCTAGAAAAGGAAATAGTCCAAACCATGATATTTGTATTAAATTCAAGTATAAATTATAGATTGGAGTGAAAAAACTTTGCATACATTTTAGAGGTACAACATGAGTCCTCAAAGGAATTGCTTGACCTGCTGTTATTCAACAGGCTCCTTCATGAAGCACTAGGCAGAGGGGGAAGATATGGTGGGTCGTTAAACAGGGGAGGGAAGTAACCGAATCTCTGCTTAAGCAGAAGATGCTGAGAGCAGTGAGTGTGAGACGGGTCAGAGAGGAGAGAAAGGTAACGGACAAGGAGGTTGAAACTAGGATGGCCACTGTGGGAATGTGGAGAAGGGGGCAGATTTAAGAGATGTTTTGGATATATTGTCTATGATCTATAACTGTGTGTATAAACATCATGAATATACATCAATAAATTTGCTAAGTGAAAGTGCCTAAATTATTCTTATATGCACACACTGACTTCTGGTGATTATTAATTTACTTCCTGGGCTTGTAACTGGGCTGGGAATGAGATAATACACAAGAAATCATTTTGAAGTGATGCATGTGTGAGGTTCTAATCTGCCAAGTTTCCATAATGTTTCTTTCTCCTTTATTTGTGCTGTTTAGTCAGTCACCTGAGCACATGCATCTGAAGGCCATTCTAAGTGATTTGCATAAAATAAATATGCATTGGTTATGAAGCATGTCCAGAAGTCAAGTTTGTTAATAATATGAACCAACATGTAATTATATACAAATGTAAAACACATAATTATACAAGATTGACTATTTTGGTATTTTATTGATTTGAAATGCAGACTCAGCTTTTTGGAAGCTTTAGTCACAAGACCGTAGAACTAAGTGGTCATGCACTTACGTTTTGGCACTGAAGATGGCAGGCAGGGCTGTGGAGCCCAGTATCCTAAGGGCTTATGTGTTATCTGAATTCCTTTGGGGGCCCTCTGTGTAGGTTTGCAATATGTATGATTTTACATTCATTAGCCACTATTTAAAATGCTACAACTCCAACAAAATACTGTCAAATATTATAAAACCCACATACCTAGAATATATTGTAAAAAGAAATGCTGAAGGTATAATCAGGTATTGATCTTTATCATTTAAAAAAATCTTTACTTTTTTGAGCAGTTTTAGCTTCACAGCAAAATGAAGAAGAAGGTACAGAGATTTCCCACAGCTTCCTCAATTATCAACATTCCCCACTAGAGTAGTATATTTGTTACAACTGATGAACTTACATTGACACATCATCATCACCCCAAATGCATAGTTTATAAGAAGGTTCCCTCTTGGTTTTGTATAATCTATGGGTTTGGGCAAATGTATAATGGCATAATGTGTAATACCCTCATTATGGTATCATACAGAGTATTTTTACTCTCCTGAAATTTCTTTGTGCTCTCCCTGCTTATCACTACCTTCACCACAGCTCTTGGCAGCCGCTGACCTTTTGTTGTCTCCATAGTTGAACCCTTTCCACAATGTCGTATGGTTGGAATCATACAGTCTGTAGCCTTTTCAGATGGACTTATTTCACTTAGTAATATGCATTTATGCTCTCTCCATACTCTTTCATGGCTTGATAGCTCACTCCTTTTTAGCACTGAATAATATGCCAGTGGTCTGGATGTAGCACAGTTCATTTATCCATTCACCTCCGGAAGAACATCTTGGTTGCCTCCAAGTTTTGGCAATTATGAGTAAAGCTGCTGTAAGCATCTTGTGCAGATTTTTACGTGAACATAAGGTTTCAATCACTTGTGTAAATACCAACGAGGGCACTTGCTGGTTCGTATGCTAAGAGTATGTTTAATTTTCTAAGGAAATCACAGACTATCTCCCAAAGTGGATGTACCATTTTACATTCTCACCAGCAATGAATGAGAGCCCCTGTTGCCCTTTATCCATGTCAGCATTTGGTGTTGTCAGTGTTCTAAGTTTTAAGCATTCCAATAGGTGTGTAGTGGAATCTCATTGTTTTATATTTGCATTTCCCTGATGACATATGATGTGGAGCATTTTTTCAGAAGCTTATTGCCATCTGTAGGTCTTCTTTGGTAAGGTGTCTGTTAAGGTCTTTGGCCAAGTTTTCAGTGGGTTTTTTTTTTTTTTTTCTTATTTCTGAATTTAAGAGTTTTTGTATATTTTTGATGACAGTCCTTTATCAGGTATGTCTTTTGCAAATATTTTTCCCAGTCAGTACCTTGTTTTCTCATTCTCTTTACATTGTATTTCACAGAACATACATTTTTAACTTTAGTGAAACCCATCTTTTCAATTCTTTCTTTTATGGATTGTGCCTCTGGTATTGTATCTAAAAAGTTACTGCAATATCCAAGGTCATACAGGTTTTCCTCTATTATCTTCTAGGAGTTTTATAGTTTTGCACTTTACATTTAGGTCTGTGGTCCACTTTGAGTTAATTTTTATGAAGGGTGTAAGGTCCGTGTCTACATTTATCTTTTTGCATGTGATTGTCCAGTTGTTATAGCACCATTTGTTGAAAAGATGATCTTTGCTCCATTTTATTGCCTTTGCATCTTTGTCAAAGATCAGCTGATTATATTCATGTGAGTCTTATTTCTGGGTTCTCTGTTGTGTTTTGTCGATCTCTTTGTCTATTCTTTCATCAATAACACAGTCTTGATTACTATAGCTTTATCCTAAGTCTTGAAGTTTGGTAGTATCAGTCCTCCAACTTTGTCGTTCCTCAACATTGTGTTGGCTATTCTGGGTCTTTTGCGTCTCTCTATAAACTTTATAATTGCTTTATCGATACCCACAAAATAACCTTCTGGGATTTGATTGAATCTGTAGATCAAGTTGGGAAGAACTGACATATTGACAATACTGAATTTTTCTATTCATGAACATAGAACAGCTCTTTAGTTAGTTCTTCCTTTATTTTGTTTGTAAGAATTTTGTAGTTTTACTCATATAGATCTTGTAAATACTTTACTTGATTTTTACCTAAGTGCTTAATTTTTGAGGGGTTAAATGGTATTATGATTTCAATGTCAAATTCTACTTGTTAATTGCCGAAATATAGGAAAGCGATTTACTTTTACATGTTAACCTTGTCTTCTGCAAAGTTGCTGTAATTGTTTATTAGCTCCTGGAGATTTTTTTTTTGGTCAGTTATTTTGGGTTTTCTACATGAACGATCATGTCATCTGCGATCAAAGACAGCTTTATTTCTTTTTTCCCAGTCTATATACTTTTTATTTCCTTTTTCTTGTCCTTTTGTATTAGCTAGTACTTCCAGTGTGCTATTGAAAGGAGTGGGAGAGGGGACAACCTTGACTTGTTCCTAATCTTAGTGGGAAAGCTTCAGTTTTCTTATCATTAGGTATGATGTTAGCTATAGGTTTTTTGGATATGTATATATATATATATATAAATATACATATGTACATACATTTTGTGTATATGTAAAATATGTGTACATGTTTACATTTATGTATAAATATGTACATACATTTTGTATATTTATTTACATTTATATAAACATATTTTGTATATATAATATACATATTTTATATATACATATGAAAAATATGTATATACACACATATACAAAAAACCTACAGCTAACATCATACTTAATGATATATATATTTATCAAGTTGAGGAAGTTCTCCCCTATTCCGTTTACTGAAAGTTTTTGTGATGAATAGGAGTTGGATTATGTCAAAATTGTTTTCATCTATTGATATAATCATATGATTTTTCTTTTGTAGCCTGTTGATGTAATGGATTATATTAATTTTTTAATGTTGAGCCAGCCTTGAATATCTGGAATGAATCTCACTTGACCATGGTGTATAATTCTTTTTGTACATTGTTGAGATAAATTTGCTAATTTTTAAATTTTTGGTTGAGACGGGGTTTCACTATGTTGCTCAGGCTGGTCTTGGACTCCTGAGCTCAGTTGATCTGCCTGTCTCAGCCTCCTAAAGTGCTAGGATTGGAGGCGTGAGCCACCACAACGTGCTAATATTTTGTTGAGCATTTTTGAATCTGTGTTCATCAGTGATACTGGTTTGTGGTTATCTTCTCTTAGAATGTCTTTATCTGCCATTTGTATTAGGGTAATGCAGGCCTCATAGAATGTTTTAGGAAGTATTTCCTCTGCTTGTGTACTCTGAAAGAGACTGTAGATAATTGGTATAATTTCTTTTTTAAATTTGTAGACTTCACCAGTGAGCCCTTCTGGGCCTGTTGCTTTCTGTTTTGGAAGGTTATTATTATTTGATTCAATTGCTCTGATAGATATAGGCCCATTCAAATTGTTTATTTCTTCTTGTTTGAGTTTTGAGAAATTTTGTCTTTCAAGGAGTAGTCCATTTTATCTAGGTTATAAAATTTGTGAGCATAGAATTGTTCATAGTATTTATTTGTTATCCTTTTAATGCCCATGGGCTGTGTAATGATGTCTTCTACTTCTGATATTAGTTATTTTTGTCCTTTCTCATTTTTTTCTTATTTAGCCTGGCTAGATGCTTATTGATTTTATTGATCATTTTTCAAAAAACAGATTTTGTTTTTGTTCATTTCCTCTATTGATTTCCTGTTTACAATTTTGTTGATTTCTACTCTAATTTTTAGTATTTCTCTGCTTATTTTGGATTTAATTTGCTCTTTTTTCTAGTTTCCTAAAGTAGAAGCTTAGAATACTGATTTTTAGATCTTTCATTTCTGTACATTTCAATACTGTATTCAGGGCTATAGATTTTCGCTTAAGGACTTCTTTTGCTGCATCCCACAAATTTTGATAAGTTGTGTTTTCATTTTCATTTCAGTTAAAATATTTCAATGTCTCTTGAGAATTCTTCTTTGAGGCATATATTATTTAAAGGCATATTGTCTAATCTCCACGTATTTTTGGATTTTTCAGTAATCTTTCTGTTACTGATTTCTAGTATAATTTCTTTGTATTCTGATAGCAGGCAATGTGTAATTTCTATTCTTTTAAATTTGTTAAGGCTCTTTCTGTGGCACAATTATGGGGAATATTCCATGTGAACTTGAGAAGAATGTGTATTCTGCTGTTGTTGGATAAAATAGTCTATAGATGTTGCTTATATCCAATTGATGGACAATGTTTTGAGTTCAATCATGTTTATACTGGTTTTCTGCTTGCTGGTTCTTCAAATTTCTGGTAGAGGGGTGTTAAAGTTTCCAACTGTGAAAATGGATTTACCTATTTATCCTTGTAGGTCTAATAGTTTTTGCCTCATTAGTTTGATGCTGTGTTTTTGGGCATATACACATTAAGGACTGTTATGTCTTTTTGTAGAACTGGTCTTTTTATCATTAAGTAATATCCTTTTTTATCCCTGGAAACTTTCCTTGCTTTGAAGTACGCTCTATCTGAAATTTACATAGCTATTCCTGCTTTCTTGGATTAGTGTTAGCATGGTATATTTTTCTCCATCCATAAGACACTGTTAATTTATATGTGTCTTTATATTTAGAGTGGGTTTTTTGTAGGCACATACAGTTGGGTCTTGTTTTTTGTTCTACTCTTACAGTCTCTTTAAATTGATGCATTTAGACCACTCAGAGTGATTGTCGATATAGTTGGATCAATAACTATCATATTTGTTACTGATTTTTTTGTTGTCCTTGTTCCTTATTTCAGTTTTTGTTTTCCACTCTGACTTTTATGGTTTAGTTGGACATTTTATATGGTTATGTTTTCCCTCCTTTCTTGGTGTATCAGTTATAGTTCTTTTTTTACTTTTTTAGTGGTTGCCCTAGAGTTTGCAATATACATTTACAACTAACCCAAGTCACCTTTCATGTTACATTATACCACTTCATGCATAATGAGAGCACTTTATAATGCAAAATAACATGAATTTCTTCCTCCTGTCCCTTGTACCATTTATTTCTTATAAGGTGCGTGTGTGTGTGTGTATATGTGTGTATGTGTGTGTGTGTATATGTATTATATATGTATATATTATATATACACAAAGTATAATAAAATACATTTTTGCTATTGTTACTTTGAACAAACTGTTATCTGTTAGATAAATTAATAAGAAAAACAAAAGTTTTTATTTTGCCTTCACTTTTTCCTTCTTCAGTGGTTCTTTCTTTAATTTAGATATGACTTTCAACCTGTATCGTTTCCCTTTTTTTAAAGAACTTCTTTTAACATTTTTTCAAGGCAGGTCTGCTTGAAACAAATTTCTTCAATTTTTGCCTGAGAATGTATTTTTTTTCCTTATCTTTTGAAGGATGATTTCAATAATTCTAGATTTGTGACTTTCTCTCTCAACACTAATTATTTTACTCTACTCTTTTTGCTTGCATGATTTCATGTAAGTCAGATGTAATTCTTAACCTTTTTGGTCCTCTAAAGGGAAGGGTTTTTTGTCTGCCTTTGGCTTCCTTCAGGATTTTATCTTTATCTTTGTTTATAGTTTGAAATGATATACTTAGATGTTGGATTTTTTTTCCCCCACATGTATCAGCTTGCTGTTTTCTGAGATTCCTGGATGTGTGGTTTGGTGTTTGACACTAATTTGGGGAAATTCTCAATCATTGTTTCAAATACTTCTGTTCCTTTCTCTACTTCAACAGTCCCCAACCTTTTTGACACCAGGGACCTGTTTTGTGGAAGACAATTTTTCCATAGACTGTCGGGGGCCATGGTTTTGGGATGAAACTGTTCCACCTCAGATTGTCAGGCATTCATTAGATTCTCATAAGGAGCGTGCAACCTAGATCCCTTGCATGTGAAATTCACAATAGGGTTTGTGTTCCTGTAAGAATGTCACGCTGCCGCTGATCTGACCGGAGGCGGAGCTCAGGCAGTAATGCTCCCTGACCTGCCCCTCACCTCCTGGTGTGTGGCCCAGTTCCTAACAGTCCAGGTGACAGGTACTGGCCTGTGGCCTGGGGGTTGGGGAACCCTGCTCTACTTCTTCTCCTTCTCGCATTCCCATCACACATATGTTACACCATTTGTAATTGTCCCACAATCCTTGGATATTCTATTCTGTTGTTTTCAGTCTTTGTTCTCTTTGCTTTTCAGTTTTCAAAATTTCGATTGATATTCCTCATACTAGGGATTCTTTCCTCAGCTGTATCCAACCTACTAGTAAGCCTATCAAATATATTCTTTATTTTTGTTACATTATTTTTGATTGCTGGAATTTCTTTTTGGTTATGTCTTAGGAGTTCCATCTCTGTGCTTACATTGTTTAACTGTTCTTGCATGATGTCTGCTTTTTCCATTAGAGCCTTTAGCTTATTAATCATAGTTGTTGTAAATTCTGATCTGATAATTCCAATACTGCTGCTATGTCTGGTACTAATGCATGTTCTGTCTCTTCAAATTGTGTTTTTTGTTTGTTTTTTGCCTTTTAGTATGCTTTGTAATTTTTTCTTGATTGGTGGCTGTGATGTACCAGGTAAAAGGAACTGCTGTAAATTAATAAGTTACTAATGTAGTGTTAAGGTGTGGAGGGAGGGGAAGCATTCTATACTCCTATGATTAGGTCTCAGTTTTTTAGTGAGCCTTTCCCTCTGGACACGAACTTCATAGGTGTTTCTCAGTTTGTTTCTCCCCACTTGAGTGCGATAGGATGGCTAGAGTGGGTGGAGTTCAGTATTTCCCTTCCCTTGTGTCAGGTAAGCTCTCATAATACCCCGGAGGGTTAGACTCTGGTTAATTCATTTCTCCTGATGGCAGGCCTTATTAAAAACAACAGAAAATTCTGGCACATTTCCAAGTGGTTTCTTTCACTTCCCTCTGGTGGAAGGATGAGGGAACATTTCTTCAGTATTTCCTGTGGGAACCTGGTAGAGCTTCTGGAGGTAAATCTCATGATATTTGGGAACCCCCTATGATTGAATCCTTTTGGAATTTTTAACTTTCAAAGTTGTACACACTGAGCCTCCAGGAATTTGCCAATTCCAGTTTCAGGTTTTCTTACTCTGCTGCTGGTTCCTGTGGTGGTTTTGCTGATTAGTCTCTGCTCTGGAAAGTCCTGGCTCTCTGTATGTCCCTGTTTGTCCCCCTAATCTTGAGAGCAGAAGTTCATCCTGTGTGTTCCCCTCTTAGTTGGGCTCCAAGAAGAGCTGTTGTTTTTCTAGTGTGTTCACCTTTTTACTTGTTAGGACAAAGTTCATTCTGAGCTTCTTGCATCAGGAACCAGGAACTGGATCTAATAATGTTTTTATAAGATACATTTCTTAAAATGACAAAAGTAATATGTGTTTGTACAGGAGCTAAATTAAACAAACCAAAAAAAGAATCAAGAAGTTGAAAATCAAGGGGGTAAAAATCAGCACACACAAGGCATTCTGGCAGAGTTCATGCTATCTTTTCTTTATGTTTATAGATGTGTAGAGAAATATTTAAATATTTAAAAGTTAAAAGGTATAAACATGATGTATGGTGCCTTAAGCAGTATTAACAGGCATTGATTTTAAAGTGGTACACTTAGGCCCATTAGTAAACAAATACAGATTTTAAAATACATTTATATGTTTTCTTCATTAACTCTTACCATCACTGCATATTCAATCTATATTCCTTTTGTAATTTAAAAACCATTTTAAAAAATGTGTTTAAATGATTTATGATGATACTTATAAGTAACACATAGTTGGGTTTTTAAAAAAATTGAATTTGATAATCTTTGTATTTTAGTTATCCTTCATGTGGTTACTGATCTATTTGGTTTTAAATCTATCCTTCACTGTTTACTTCCACTTACCCTTGTCTCTTCTATGTTCTTTTTTTCCTCTTTTTTCTTACACTTTTCTGGATTAATTGCTCATTTTATATTATTCTAATTTTCTCTTCTATTAGTTTGTTAGTCATATTTCTTTCTTTTTGTCTTACAGTGGTTGATCTGGAGATTACAATAGGAATCCATGACTAAGTAAAGTCTAGTGAAAGTCGTCAACCTTTCTGTACAATGTGAGGACTTTACAACACTTTAATTCCATAATTCCAATTTATCTACTGTTATTGTCATATATTTTATTTCTATAAATATATTTAAACCTTATAAGATTATAATTGTCTTTTACAGTCAGTATTCTTTTAGATTTACTCGTATATTTACCTTTTTTGTTACTTTAATTCCTCCCTGTATCTTCTAACTTTCATCTGAGATAATTTTCCTTCTGCCCTTTAGACTTCTCTTTCTTGAGAGTCTGGAAGTAGCACAATTTCTCCATGTTTGTTTCAAAACTTATTTATATTGCCTAATTTTTGTGTGATAATTCAGAAATACAGACTTTGTGTTGCCGGTTAGTTACAGCACTTTTATATACAGCATAGTGTCTATAGTCGATTACCCTAGTGTTTTCTGACTTCAGTACTTCTCTTAAGAGGTCAGCTGTATGCCTTACTGTTGCTTCTCTGTTCTTGTTTTCTTTGGTCACTTTTAAATTTTATTCTTTGTCTTTGATTTTTAACAGTTTTGCTATGATAAGAATATGTTTCTGCTCTTTTGTTTTACCTGCTTGGGATTCAGAATGACTTATTGAATCTGTTCCTTGGTTTCATTCACAAGTTTTGGACAATTGTTGCCAGATCGATCGATCTTTTCCTCCTTCCTTCCTTCCTTCCTTCCTTCCTTCCTTCCTTCTTTTTTTGGGGATGGAGTCTCGCTGTGTTGCCCAGGTTGGAGTGCAATGGCACGATCTTGGCTCACTACAACCTCTGCCACCTGGATTCAAGCAATTCTTCTGCCTCAGCCTCCCGAGTAGCTGGAACTACAGGTGTGCACCACCACGCCTGGCTAATTTTTGTATTTTTAGTAGAGACAGGTTTTCACCATATTGGCCAGGCTGGTCTCCAACTCCTGACCTCATGATCCGCCTGCCTCAGCCTCCCAAAGTGCTGGGATTACAGGCGTGAGCCACTGTGCCCGGCCTAGATATTTCTTTAGATATGGCTTCTGCTCTATTTTTTCTGCCTTCCCTTTTTGGGACAATGATTACATGTTCACCACAGCTTTCACTTTATCTCAGTGATTCTCAACCAGGGGCAGTGTCTCTCCCCAGGGAATATTTGGCATTATCTTGAAAAAATTTCAGTTGCCCCAACTGGGGAGAAAGATGCTACTGACACTTACAGGGAAGAGGCTAGGGATGCTACTAAATGACCTATAGTGCATAGGGTGACTCCTCAAGAAAAAGAATTATCTGGCCCCCAATTTCAACAGTGCTGAGATGGAGAAGACTAATTTATTCCATATGCCTCCTATTCTTTGCGACAATTCCCATTACTTTGTCTCTCCATGCTTCATCCGGTCCGTTTTCTGTTGACATATATTCAATATTCAGTCCTTGAATTCTCTCATTGTGTCTATCTGTTGTTAGTCCCATTTATTGACTCCTTTTTAAAGTTTCAGATATTGCATGCTTTAGTGTTAAGAGTTTCCTTTTGGTTCTTACGATGTTTTCTAGCTCTCAAGCTTGTTCTGATTTTCTTCAAATATATTAATAAGACTTTTTTTTATAGTCCCTGTCTGATAATTCCATTCTTAAGACACTTTGTGCCTCTGTTTTTATTAGTGATGGCTCTTTTTGCTTTTCTGTTACATGGTCTGTGCTCCTTCTGAGCCTGGTTGTGTTTGTAGTTTGTCCCAGACAATGTATGGGAAAAATGGTAGAGATGAGAGAACGGAGAACACTTTTACTCCTGTTAATATTTGCTTCTGACAACAGCCACCCCATGGGTACCAGCAACCACACATAACCTTAATTAGATTAGGGATTGAGAAGATACGAAGATGGGCTTCAGTCCCTTTAAGCGCTGGTTTGTTTCTGGTTCTTGCATATACATTCTAGGGCATAAATACAGAGAATTTACTAGAGTCTTCTCTCTCTTCAATAAGTTTTTTTTTTTTTGAGACAGAGTCTCACTTTGTCACCCAGGCTGGCATATGGTGGCACAGTCTCGGCTCACTGCAACCTCTCTCTCCCGGGTTCCAGTGATTCTCCTGCTTCAGCCTTCCAAGTAGCTGGTATTTTTTTTTAATATTTTAAGTTTTAGGGTACATGTGCACAACGTGCAGGTTTGTTACATATGTATACATGTGCCATGCTGGTGTGCTGCACCCATTAACTCGTCATTTAGCATTAGGTATATCTCCTAATGCTATCCCTCCCCCCTCCCCCCACCCCACAACAGTCCCCAGAGTGTGATGTTCCCCTTCCTGTGACCATGTGTTCTCATTGTTCAATTCCCATCTATGAGTGAGAACATGTGGTGTTTGGTTTTTTGTCCTTGGGATAGTTTACTGAGAATGATGATTTCCAATTTCATCCATGTCCCTACAAAGGACATGAACTCATCATTTTTTATGGCTGCATAGTATTCCATGGTGTATATGTGCCACATTTTCTTAATCCAGTCTATCATTGTTGGACATTTGGCTTGGTTCCAAGTCTTTGCTATTGTGAATAGGGCCACAATAAACATACGTGTGTGTGTGTCTTTATAGCAGCATGATTTATAGTCCTTTGGGTATATACCCAGTAATGGGATGGCTGGGTCAAATGGTATTTCTAGTTCTAGATCCCTGAGGAATCGCCACACTGACTTCCACAATGGTTGAACTAGTTTACAGTCCCACCAGCAGTGTAAAAGTGTTCCTATTTCTCCACATGCTCTCCAGCACCTGTTGTTTCCTGACTTTTTAATGATTGGCATTCTAACTGGTGTGAGATGGTATCTCACTGTGGTTTTGATTTGCATTTCTCTGATGGCCAGTGATGATGAGCATTTTTTCATGTGTCTTTTGGCTGCATAAATGTCTTCTTTTGAGAAGTTTCTGTTCATATCCTTTGCCCACTTTTTGATGGGGTTGTTTGTTTTTTTCTTGTAAATTTGTTTGAGTTCATTGTAGATTCTGGATATTAGCCCTTTGTCAGATGAGTAGGTCGCGAAAAGTTTCTCCCATTTTGTGGGTTGCCTGTTCACTCTGATGGTAGTTTCTTTTGCTGTGCAGAAGCTCTTTAGTTTAATTAGATTCCATTTGTCAATTTTGGCTTTTGTTGCCATTGCTTTTGGTGTTTTAGACATGAAGTCCTTGCCCATGCCTATGTCCTAAATGGTAATGCCTAGGTTTTCTTCTAGGGTTTTTATGGTTTTAGGTCTAATGTTTAAGTCTTTAATCCATCTTGAATTAATTTTTGTATAAGGTGTAAGGAAGGGATCCAGTTTCAGCTTTCTACACATGGCTAGCCAGTTTTCCCAGCACCATTTATTAAATAGGGAATCCTTTCCCCATTGCTTGTTTTTGTCAGGTTTGTCAAAGATCAGATAGTTGTAGATATGCGGCGTTATTTCTGAGGGCTCTGTTCTGTTCCATTGGTCTATATCTCTGTTTTGGTACCAGTACCATGCTGTTTGGTTACTGTAGCCTTGTAGTATATAGTTTGAAGTCAGGTAGCGTGATGCCTCCAGCTTTGTTCTTTTGGCTTAGGATTGACTTGGTGATGCGGGCTCTTTTTTGGTTCCATATGAACTTTAAAGTAGTTTTTTCCAATTCTGTGAAGAAAGTCATTGGTAGCTTGATGGGGATGGCATTGAATCTATAAATTACCTTGGGCAGTATGGCCATTTTCACGATATTGATTCCTCCTACCCATGAGCATGGAATGTTCTTCCATTTGTTTGTATCCTCTTTTATTTCATTGAGCAGTGGTTTGTAGTTCTCCTTGAAGAGGTCCTTCACATCCCTTGTAAGGTGGATTCCTAAGTATTTTATTCTCTTTGAAGCAATTGCGAATGGGAGTTCACTCATGATTTGGCTCTCTGTTTGTCTGTTATTGGTGTATAAGAATGCTTGTGATTTTTGTACATTGATTTTGTATCTTGAGACTTTGCTGAAGTTGCTTATCAGCTTCAGGAGATTTTGGGCTGAGACAATGGGGTTTTCTAGATATACAATCATGTCATCTGCAAACAGGGACAATTTGACTTCCTCTTTTCCTAATTGAATACCCTTTATTTCCTTCTCCTGCCTGATTGCTCCGGCCAGAACTTCCAACACTATGTTGAATAGGAGTGGTGAGAGAGGGCATCCCTGTCTGTGCCAGTTTTCAAAGGGAATGCTTCCAGTTTTTGCCCATTCAGCATGATATTGACTGTGGGTTTGTCATAGATAGCTCTTATTATTTTGAGATACATCCCATCAATACCTAATTTATTGAGAGTTTTTAGCATGAAGGGTTGTTGAATTTTGTCAAAGGCCTTTTCTGCATCTATTGAGATAATCATGTGGTTTTTGTCTTTGGTTCTGTTTATATGCTGGATTACATTTATTGATTTGCGTATATTGAACCAGTCTTGCATCCCAGGGATGAAGCCCACTTGATCATGGTGGATAAGCTTTTTGATGTGCTGCTGGATTCCGTTTGCCAGTATTTTATTGAGGATTTTTGCATCAATGTTCATCAGGGATATTGGTCTAAAATTCTCTTTTTTGGTTGTGTCTCTGCTCAGCTTTGGTATCAGAATGATGCTGGCCTCATGAAATGAGTTAGGGAGATTCCCTCTTTTTCTGTTGATTGGAATAGTTTCAGAAGGAACGGTACCAGTTCCTCCTTGTACCTCTGGTAGAATTCGGCTGTGAATCCATCTGGTCCTGGACTCTTTCTGGTTGGTAAGCTATTGATTATTGCCACAATTTCAGCTCCTGTTACTGGTCTATTCAGAGATTCAACTTCTTCCTGGTTTAGTTTTGGGAGAGTGTATGTGTCGAGGAATTTACCATTTCTTCTAGATTTTCTAGTTTATTTGCGTGGAGATGTTTGTAGTATTCTCTGATGATAGTTTGTATTTCTGTGGGATTGGTGGTCATATCCCCTTTATCATTTTTTATTGCGTCTATTTGATTCTTCTCTCTTTTTTTCTTTATTAGTCTTGCTAGCGGTCTATCAATTTTGTTGATCCTTTCAAAAAACCAGCTCCTGGATTCATTAATTTTTTGAAGGGTTTTTTGTGTCTCTATTTCCTTCAGTTCTGCTCTGATTTTAGTTATTTCTTGCCTTCTGCTAGCTTTTGAATGTGTTTGCTCTTGCTTTTCTAGTTCTTTTAATTGTGCTGTTAGGGTGTCAATTTTGGAGCTTTCCTGCTTTCTCTTGTGGGCATTTAGTGCTATAAATTTCCCTGTAGACACTGCTTTGAATGCATCCCAGAGATTCTGGTATGTTGTGTCTTTGTTCTCGTTGGTTTCAAAGAACATCTTTATTTCTGCCTTCATTTCGTTATGTACCCAGTAGTCATTCAGGAGCAGGTTGTTCAGTTTCCACGTAGTTGAGCGGTTTTGAGTGAGTTTCTTAATCCTGAGTTCTAGTTTGATTGCACTGTGGTCTGTTCTTTTACATTTGCTGAGGAGAGCTTTACTTCCAGGTATGTGGTCAATTTTGGGATAGGTGTGGTGTGGTGCTGAAAAAAATGTATATTCTGTTGATTTGGGGTGGAGAGTTCTGTAGATGTCTATTAGGTCTGCTTGGTGCAGAGCTGAGTTCAGTTCCTGGGTATCCTTGTTAACTTTCTGTCTCGTTGATCTGTCTAATGTTGACAGTGGGGTGTTAAAGTCTCCCATTATTATTGTGTGGCAGTCTAAGTCTCTTTGTAGGTCACTCAGGACTTGCTTTATGAATCTGGGTGCTCCTGTATTGGGTGCATATATATTTAGGAAAGTTAGCTCTTCTTGTTGAAATGATCCCTTTACCATTATGTAATGGCCTTCTTTGTCTCTTTTGATCTTTGTTGGTTTAAAGTCTGTTTTATCAGAGACTAGGATTGCAACCCCTGCCCTTTTTTGTTTTCCATTTGCTTGGTAGATCTTCCTCCATCCTTTAATTTTGAGGCTATGTGTGTCTCTGCACGTGAGATGGGTTTCCTGAATACAGCACACTGATGGGTCTTGACTCTTTATCCAATTTGCCAGTCTGTGTCTTTTAATTGGAGCATTTAGTCCATTTACATTTGAAGTTAATATTGTTATGTGTGAATTTGATCCTGTCATTATGATGTTAGCTGGTTATTTTGCTTGTTAGTTGATGCAGTTTCTTCCTAGTCTCCATGGTCTTTACATTTTGGCATGATTTTGCAGCAGCTAGTACCGGTTGTGCCTTTCCATGTTTAGTGCTTCCTTCAGGAGCTCTTTTAGGGCAGGCCTGGTGGTGACAAAATCTCTCAGCATTTGCTTGTCTGTAAAGTATTTTATTTCTCCTTCACTTATGAAGCTTAGTTTGGCTGGATATGAAATTCTAGGTGAAAATTCTTTTCTTTGAGAATGTTGAATATTGGCCCCCACTCTCTTCTGGCTTGTAGAGTTTCTGCCGAGAGATCCGCTGTTAGTCTGATGGGTTTCCCTTTGTGGGTAACCCGACCTTTCTCTCTGGCTGCCCTTCACGTTTTTTCTTTCATTTCCACTTTGGTGAATCTGACAATTATGTGTCTTGGAGTTGCTCTTCTCGATGAGTATCTTTGTGGTGTTCTCTGTATTTCCTGAATGTGAATGTTGGCCTGCCTTGCTAGATTGGGGAAGTTCTCATGGATGATATCCTGCAGAGTGTTTTCCAACTTGGTTCCATTCTCCCCGTCATTTTCAGGTACACCAATCAGATGCAGATTTGGTCTTTTCACATAGTCCCATATTTCTTGGAGGCTTTGTTCGTTTCTTTTTATTCTTTTTTCTCTAAACTTCCCTTCTCACTTCATTTCATTCATTTCATCTTCCATCGCTGATACCCATTCTTCCAGTTGATCGCATCGGCTCCTGAGGCTTCTGCATTCTTCATGTAGTTCTCGAGCCTTGGCTTTCAGCTCCATCAGCTCCTTTAAGAACTTCTCTGTATTGGTTATTCTAGTTATACATTCGTCTAAATTTTTTTCAAAGTTTTCAACTTCTTTGCCTTTGGTTTGAATTTCCTCCTGTAGCTCGGAGTAGTTTGGTCGTCTGAAGCCTTCTTCTCTCAACTCGTCAAAGTCATTCTCCATCCAGCTTTGTTCCGTTGTTGGTGAGGAACTGCCTTCCTTTGTAGGAGGAGAGTCGCTCTGCTTTTTAGAGTTTCCAGTTTTTCTGTTCTGTTTTTTCCCCATCTTTGTGGTTTTATTTACTTTTGGTCTTTGATGATGGTGATGCACAGATGGGTTTTTGGTGTGGATGTCCTGTCTGTTTGTTAGTTTTCCTTCTAACAGACAGGACCCTCAGCTGCAGGTCTGTTGGAGTTTGCTAGAGGTCCACTCCAGACCCTGTTTGCCTGGGTATCAGCAGCGGTGTCTGCAGAACCGCGGATTTTCATGATCTGCGAATGCTGCTGTCTGATCGTTCCTCTGGAAGTTTTGTCTCAGAGGAGTACCCGGCCGTGTGAGGTGTCAGTCTGCCCCTACTTGGGGGTGCCTCCCAGTTAGGCTGCTCGGGGGTCAGGGGTCAGGGACCCACTTGAGGAGGCAGTCTGCCCGTTCTCAGATCTCCAGCTGCGTGCTGGGAGAACCACTGCTCTCCTTAAAGCTGTCAGACAGGGACATTTAAGTCTGCAGAGGTTACTGCTCTCTTTTTGTTTGTCTGTGCCCTGCCCCCAGAGGTGGAGCCTACGGAGGCAGGCAGGCCTCCTTGAGCTGTGGTGGGCTCCACCCAGTTGGAGCTTCCTGGCTGCTTTGTTTACCTAAGCGAGCCTAGGCAATGGCGGGCGCCCCTCCCCCAGCCTTGCTGAAGCCTTGCAGTTTGATCTCAGACTGCTGTGCTAGCAATCAGCGAGACTCCATGGGCGTAGGACCCTCCGAGCCATGTGCGGGATATAATCTCCTGGTGTGCCGTTTCCGAAGCCCGTCAGAAAAGCGCAGTATTGGGGTGGGAGTGGCCCGATTTTCCAGGTGCCGTCTGTCACCCCTTTCCTTGACCAGGAAAGGGAACTCCCTGACCCCTTGCACTTCCCGAGTGAGGCAATGCCTCGCCCTGCTTCGGCTGGTGCATGGTGCGCTGCACCGACTGTGCTGCGCCCACTGTCTGGCACTCCCTAGTGAGATGAACCTGGTAGCTCAGATAGAAATGCAGGAATCACCCGTCTTCTGCATTGCTCAGGCTGGGAGCTGTAGACCGGAGCTGTTCCTATTTGGCCATCTTGGCTCCTCCCCAAGTAGCTGGTATTACAGGCATGCACCACCATGCCTGGCTGATTTTTGTATTTTTAGTAGAGACGGGGTTTCAAGACGTTCCCCAGGCTGGTCTTGAACTCCTGACCTGAAGTGATCTGCCCGCCTTGGCCTCCCAAAGTGCTGGGATTGCAGGCATGAGCCACTGCACCTGGCCCTCTCTTCAGTAAGTCTTGAGCTCAAAATTTTCCACTTTTCTCTTAAGTTTGTCAAGGTTTGCTTAAAATTTTAGCCTCTTAAGCATTATTAAATAATCACCACAGGCTCTGGAAAGGTGGCCTCAAATCTTGGTATTCTCTCAGGGCTCCCCTCTCTTCCTGGATCTTGTCCCTGCAATTCCTCACTGCTCTATTAGTATTCTGGTGCCCTTAAGCATGATTTTTTTTTTTTTTTTTCCCCAAGCTCTTCTAATTGTTCTCACTGGAGAGTTGATGAGAACCACCTAGTTGATCATCACTGATAGCAGAACAGAAATTCTAAGTGGAAATAAATATCATATGTGCTCTCTAATTTGTGGAAGCTAAGAAAGTGGATCTCACGGAAGTAGGGAGTGTAGTGGTGGTTACCAGTGACTGGGAAGACAGTGGGGAGAGGAGAAGTTGGTTAAAGGGAGTAAGTTAGATGGAAGAGGCCAGGTGCGTTGGCTCACACTTGTAATCCCAGCAGTTTGGGAGGCCAAAGAGGGTAGATCACAAGGTCAAGAGATTGAGACCATCTTGGCCAACATGGTGAAACCCCATTTCTACTAAAAATACAAAAATTAGCTGGGGGTGATGGCGCATGCCTGTAGTCCCAGCTACTCGGGAGGCTGAGGCAGGAGAATCGCTTGAACCCGGGAGGCAGAGGTTGCAGTGAGCCGAGATCGCGCCACTGCACTCCAGCCTGGTGACAGAGCGAGACTCCATCTCAAAATAAATAAATAAATACAATTAAATAAAAAAGTTAGATGAAAGATATAGTTAGATAGAAGGAATAAGTTCTAGTATTTAATAGTATAGTAGAGAAATTATAGTTAACAATAATTTATTGTACATTTCAAAATAACTAGAAGAGCAGACTTGTAATTTTCCCAACATAAAAGATAAATGTTTGAGGTGGTAGATACCCCGATGATACTGATTTCATCATTACACATTGTCTGTGGGTATCAAAATATCACACGTACCTCCAAAATATGTACAGCTATTAGATATAAATAAAAAAATCTGTAATGCACCTTTATAATTGATACCAATTTATTATGGTTGAAATTTTGTCTCCTAAAACCTGAAGAGGTTTAGGAGACAGAGCCCTGAAGAGGGCTGTGGGAGATAAACCCACAAAATTCTTTTAATCTGTATAGACTGAGAATTGTAAGCACTTTTACTAAAGGAATCTTTCTTGTAAATGTTGCCTTTCAAGGCTACCACTGAAGATATTCCCTGAAGGGTTCAGCTCTCTCAGAGCTTCTCGTTTCATCTTTGACATGCTGTTAAAGGAAGAGAAATAGTCTTGTCATGGAGGAAGGCCAACGAAAATCTCTGCTGCCTTATTGATTTATTTTTAAAATCAGGATTAGGTAGTGTTTTACTCCTCCTCAAAGAAGAGGGAAGTCATTTGGCATCTTCTAATTGCAGTTCCCATGCTCTTAATTTCAGTGATTTCCTTATTCAGTTAACATCAGTTATAAACCATTATAGCCAAAGAAATTCAAAAAGTATTGTAAAATAGTATGTACTTGGGCATATTTATGTGTGTGTAAATGCACACTCAGTCACACACACCCCTGTTATCCTTAGCTCTCCTTGTTGATTTTATTTTTGATATCTCAAGACAAGGTATCATGTACTATGCTAATTAAGTTTCCAAGATCTAAAGCTTGAAGATACCGCAGAGGCCTTGGAGTCACAGCTCCCAGGTAGCCAAAACAATGGACTGAAACTAATAAGAAATTAAGCAATGAATTATACAAAATCTTGTATTATGGGTTAAAAATTAGTGCAGAAGAATGGGCTGTGGGAAAGGCCTGGATGTGTGGCTGACTACTGGCTCTGCGTCAGCTCGTAGGTGTAGGAGCTGACCTGTCTAAGCTGTAGGTGGCAGTGGACAAGGAGTAGGAAATTGCAGTTGTCATGGTTAATGAATGCCACCTGTGAGAGATTCTCAGCATGGGAAATTTACTCTTGCATCATTGGAAGTGAATTGTCTGTAAATATTCCTGTCTTGGATAAAAGAGCCATGGTGTCTATACTCTGGGGAGAGGACTTAGAGAGGGAGGAGAACTTATTTACTTTATTTTGTGGAGAGAAGGCACGTGTTAGGCTAACTCTTTAGTTGGTTTCAAATTTCAGGATTGTTAAATGAGTTTATAATCTAAAGTATCTATTTTAAGAAGTCCACACAGAGAAGATATTATGATCAGAGATTTAGATTAAGCAAATTAGGGTAAGGCTGCTCACTGATTGCCAAAGTATATTTCATTAAGTGCAAATGGATGAAATTTACAATTGAAATCACTAGTCAGGAAACAGTTTGTTTAAGTTCTCCATTAAGAAGTTTTATTGTCATTTGAAGTAACCTTTAACACACTGTGTTAAAGGTCTCTCGTAGAGAGACACACATCTTATTTTGGAAGTTATTCTTTAACCCTATTCTAAAACTTTAAATTGTAGTAGAGTAGATATACACTAATGTGGCACGATATCAAAACCAATTCAGTGGGTTACCACAAAGTGAACCCCGTTAAGCTGTCACCACCCAATACAGACCTTCGCTCCTCCAGAGCTAAACTGTTTGCCTTACTTCAAACACCAAAGTCTAGTTTTGCCCTTCTCTGGAACTCTGTATAAGAGGAATCACCCAAGCACACAGCATGCGTTCTTTGGGATCTGGCTTTTTTGGTTCATTTTTATTTTTGTGAGCCACCCAAGTTGTTGTCTGTAGCTCTTCTTTCTTCATTTCTATTGTATGAATATAACAACATGTATTATTATATTGATGGCTATTTAGATTTCTTCTAGATTTTGTCTGCTTTCAAGAACACTTCAAGGAATGTGTTACATGTCTTCTGACGGACAGGAGTATGCATTTCTCTCTGATACAGACGTAAAAGTAGATTGGCGGGGCCATAGGGCAGCGTGTTTTTAACTTTTCTGGATGATGCTAAACAATTTTCAAAATGGTTATACCAATTAGCATTCCCACCAGCAGTGTATGAAAATTCTTGTTGCTCTACATACTCACCAACGCTTGGCATTTTTAGTCTATTAAATTTACCATTCTAGTGGGTGTGGAGTGACATTTTCTTGTGATTTTAATTAGCATTTCCCTGATTACAGCTAAGGTTGAGGAGATTTTCATTTTTTTATTTTCCATTTTGATATATTATTTTGAGAAGTGTCTAATCGTGTCTCTTTACTATTTCTCTCTCTCTTTTTTTTTTGTTTTGTGTTGGTTTGTTTTTTTCTTTATTGATTTGTATGAGTTTTTCTGTATTACAGATATAAACCCGTAGTCATTGTCTTTGTTTTGTGCTGTTATAACAGACTGGAGACTGGGTAATTTATTAAAAATAGAAATTTATTTCTCATAGTTCTGGGGATGGTAAAGTCTGATATCAAGGTGCCAGTATCTGGCATATCTTGCTGCTTCACAACGTGGTGGAAGGCATCACATGGCAGAAGGGCAAAGAGTGGGTGTGAGAGAGAGAGAGCAAGAGGGCTAAACCTGCTCCCTTCATAATGAACCCACTCCCAAGGTAACTGCATTAGTCCATTCAGGAGGGTGGGGCCTTCATGACCTAAGCATCTCTTATAGGTTCTGTCTCCCAATACCATCCTAGTGGAAATTAAATTTCAGCATGAGTTTTGGAGGGGTCAAACATTCAAACCATTGCAGTTGGCCAGGCGTGGTGGCTCATGCCTGTAATCCCAGCACTTTGGGAGGCCGAGGCGGGCGGATCACGAGGTCAGGAGATCGAGACCATCCTGGCTAACACAGTGAAACCCTGTCTCTACTAAAAATACAAAAAATTAGCCGGGCGTGGTAGCAGGCGCCTGTAGTCCCAGCTGCTCAGGAGGCTGAGGCAGGAGAATGGCGTGAACCCGGGAGGCGGAGCTTGCAGTGAGCTGAGATCATGCCGCTGCACTCCAGCCTGGGTGACAGAGCGAGACTCTGTATCAAAAAAAAAAACCAAAAAACAAAACCATTGCAGTTATATGTTTTGCAGGTATCTTAGACTCTTTGGCTTATTGTTTTACTTTTTGACATTCTTTCTTTTCTCCTTTTGTAAACTTTCAATTGAAGTATGACATGCTTACAGATTAATGGTGTCTTTTGGTGAACAGAAATTCTTAATTTTAGTGTGGCCTAGTTTAGAAATCCTTTCTTCTACATTTAGTGCTTACAGTGTCATATTTTAAAAGTCTTTCCCTTCCCCAAGTTCATGAAGATATTTTTCTGTATTTTTTAGAAGCTTTCCATTGTTGTTTTAGTGAATTTTTGTTACTGTTTTACCTCTCATGTTTGTTTATAACCCACCTAGAATTGATTTTTGTGTATAAAGTGTATCACTTTTAAGCAGTTTTATGGAAATTGGACTGGTGACTAATTTATTTTGTTTTTCAAGAGTTGTGAAAGGGTTGTTAGTGGAATTAATGCATGATTGTTTAACTGTATCACATTTGGACATTGTATTGTCCACTATGCCTGTGCCCTAATGGACATTTTAATTATTTAATGTGTGTATGATATGAAAATAATGTATGGGTAATGGAAATTTTTAATATTTAAAAATGTTGACATCACACACATTATTTACAAAGTCAGTAGTAAAGAAGGGCTTATGAGAAGCCCTAGCCCCTGGCCCCAGGTTTCCCATCACCATCCTAAGACAGGTACTTTTAACAGGCTCTGTTTCAGGTCATCACTAATATTTTAACATTCTGCTTATGTTTCTATTTCTTGATTGATTAAAATATCAAATTCTCTGGACCTTTACTGAAATTAAAATGCCTTTAATTAAATATCTTCAGTATGGATGTTCTTATTTTTAGGAGGGATTTTGTTAACAAAGAAAACATTAGGCAAATTCAATTTAGCAGACGTTATATGAGCAAAGAACAATTCATGAATCAAGCAGCACTCAGGACCAGAAGAGGTTCAGAGAGCTTGACTCAGTAGTGTGAGCAACCAGCTTTTATAGGCTGAACACAGAAGCAAATTAGATAATCTGATTGGCTACCACTAGGCACTTGTCTTACTTGGCATGGGGTGATGAATTGGCTGCCTGTGATTGGCTGAAATCTAGCTGTTCATGGTTAGCTGAAACTCTGCTGTTATAGTCCTAAGTTAGGTTTTGGTTTGTTTGCTTAATAAATTAGGTTGCCTTTGTTAAGTAGGAACTCAAAGATGGGAGATAGTCTCCAGCCAGTGGCCTTCTGCTTATTTCATTTAGCAGTTTGTTTATTAGGAATGGCAGTGTGTCCCTCAAATCAGGATCTGATGATGAAGGTTGTTGGCTAATGATTGAGATAGAGATGGGTTTTTTTGTTTGTTTTTGTTTGGATGCCTATCTGACTCTGAAGGAAAAGAAAAAAATTTCCCTAAGTTTCTTAGCAAATCAAAAGCCTTCTACACTGACTGATTTTAAGGATAGGCTGTAATTAGGTAATGAACATTTTGGTGTGTTAACTTGGAAAACCCCAACTTTATAGCCATAGCTAATATATTCACTGAAATATATTTCGGGTTTTGAAAATCAATTGGCCAAAAGCTTTAAAAACATTCTTTTTAAAAACAACATTTAAAAACTTTCTTGCAGAGTTTTCCTTTAAAAATAAAAAGTGCTACTTTTTAAGCCTTTGATCAAATGTTGACACTCCTCAACTTTGTGACTGAATCATTTAGGACAATATTTTAAATTTGCCTAAAATATCTGTAGGTTAAAGATCAAGAAAATTTCTTGATTAAAAGTGAAAGGATAACAGATATGTTGATAAAAATGGACAACGTCCATAGAATCCTGATACTTGCAGACATTCAGGTGTTTGTAGTTACTCTTCAGGGCCACATCCTATAAACAACTAGAAATCAGGATATACATGTAAGTCAGGTAAATTTCAGACAGCCTGTAATGTTTCAAGCAGGAAGATGTCTCCAGATCTGTCCTGGAGGCTTCCCTGTTCTTTATATTACCGGTCTTGCATTTTACAACTTCAGACTAAACAGAAACTGTATCAGAGGCCTTTGTCTTAGTGATTTAGGCCAGGGAGTGATTTACACTGACTAGTGGTCCTAGGAGCAGTAGGCTTTTAATTCTGCTTCCTGCACTCTAGGATTGACTATCATGCTGTTGAAGATGATGTGTGGCTGCAGGGTGCACCTCCTTGCCTCCTTTCCCTCTGAAACATGCAGGGTTGTTCGGACCCTCCATCCTCTTCCATGCAGAAAGCAGTTAATGCAAATTCCGTGGTCCAAGACAATCCTTTGACAGTAACCATCAGTCATGCATTAAAACAGCAGTGTACAGATGGTACCTTCATTGTTTCTGACAGGGACAGTTATGGGCATTGGATTAAAGTAAAAACTGAAAAGGAATATTCATGACAGGAAATTTTCCCTTTCCGGGGGTGTTTTGCAACAGCGGGAAGCAGCTGGTCATTGATGTGTCGGCACAAGGCAGCTTCCTGGATTTCCACTGGCTTCCTGGATTTTTCCAGGTGTCACTTGGAAAGTGTACTGAATTAGTGCTTGAAACTTAGTGTTAGAGTGCTCGAAACTTAGTCTCAAATAGAGGAAATGAACACAGAGTAGGATACATAATGTGGCATTGTTTGGATTGGGAATGCTGTACTTATTTCAGAAATGCCACTCTTTTGGAGGAAAATTAGTTTCCTCCTTACTTTATTGTTAAATCTGGGAAATCTGGAAAGGGCTGTGGGGGCAGAACTAGAGTGGGCTGGTATTCAGGGCCTCCTAATAGGTGGCTTTGGTTGTGTGACTTTGGATGCATATATCACTGTGTATATTTGAAAAAAGCCCTAAAGTAACATCATCTATATGTATATAACTTTAAAGAACTTTAACATTTTTAAAGCACTTTCACTGATGTTTGTCTCTTTGATGATCATGTGAAATGGTGTTCTTAATGACTGTACCTGTCTAGGCAGAGAACATTTTGGGACCTGAACCCAGGTCTTCTTTGTATTTTTTTTTTTCTTTTTGGGACAGAGTCTTACTCTGTTGCCCAGGCTGGAGTGCAGTGGCATAATCTTGGCTCACTGCAACCTCCGCCTCCTGGGTTCAAGCAATTCTCATGCCTCAGTCTCCCGAGTGGCTGAGACTACAGGTGCACACCACCATGCCCAGCACATTTTTGTATTATTAGTAGAGATAGGGTTTTACCGTGTTGGCCAGGCTGGTCTCGAACTCCTGACGTCAGGTGATGTGCCCGCCTTGGCCTTCTGAAGTGCTGTATTTTTTTGTTTTCAGGATATTTCTGTTTATTTGCTCATTAAATGAATGGATTATGCAGTAGCCAAGATAATTGAAATAGGTGACCAGTGAGATTTTATTTTCAGTTTGAACTATTGATTTTTTTGGCATTTGATATGTTTTACTCCATTGCAGTTATTCTTTCTGATGCTTGAACTGTCAGATTGGCTCCTGCATTGTTTTGCTTTGGTCACTGTGATCCTTAATCATTTCTTCTATTTCCTGGCAGAAAATAAAATAAGGTGTCCTGGGCTCACTGTGTGTACCTCCCACCACAGACTGGAATCTGCCTTTGCTAAGGAGCATTACAGTGGGAAATTAAATTTAGAAGCCACAGACTGACAGGAGGTATTGGAAGAAATTCCAACTTGAGTCTAACAGATATCTCAGAAAGAGACAACTGAGCGAATGGGAAGTACAGATATAGAGAAATGATTTTTTTTTGTTTTGTTTGTTTTCTAAAAGCTTCTAGATTTGAGGGAAAACACAAACACATACTTAGAAGCAGCAGACCCACTTCATCCTTCAATTCCAGTACATCAGGTGTAAGGAAAAAAAGGCTATTTAGGACATTACAGAGGGCTATAACGCCCAAGCTCCGATGAGAAACTGATTAGTATCCTAAGATCTCTGAAACGCCAAGTAGAAAAGCAAAAAAAAAAAAAAAAAAAAAAAAAAAAAAAAAAAGTGTTTTCATGTATGCAAGGATTCAAAGTTTACCACCCACAAATTATCTGAAAGAATTGCTGGAATAATGTAATCCAGTTATGCAAAACCAAAATCAAACTCTAAGCAGAATAAGTGAGATATAATAAATCCAAGCAGTTAGAGTCCAGAAAATTTGGCATTAAGCCTAATTGTCAGTTGTCAAACATCCCATGAAACATCAACAGCAATCTATAACTGAAACTTCAGAATTCACTCTACAAACGGTCCTGGAGGAGTGAGGGTAGTGTATTTCAGAGGTAGAAAAAGCAGAGAAGAAATGCATTCTAAGATACTTTTCTATATCTATATCATCTATTTATATGTATACCTGTATATACATACCTGTGTGTGTGTGTGCGCGCGCACACACGCACGCATATGGACTGATTTATGAAGGCATATATAGAAAAAATAAATTATGCATTTTCACATAACTTTCACATAAACTTGTAAATAACCACTGTAAGAATAGAAATAGGATATAAAGTTTTCAAACCTTGAAGGGCAATAATGGAACAAAGAAAACTGAACAATCCAATAAAACTAAGAAATGCTTTAAGAAAACACAAGAAAAGTCTGGTAAACAGGCAACATATTATGACAACAGAAACCCAATCTTATCCGTAATCACCATGTTGTGAATTGGACATTTTCAGTTGAAAATGTTCCAGCTATGGCCACTTTCAAGAGATAGACTTAAATCACAAATTCTCAGACAAAAATAAGTAAATAGGCAGATAGGCAAATGGAGATGGGGAAAAGCTGCAGCAAGCAGATATTAACAGTGGTTACAGAACTGTATCTTGCTGTAATGGGGGCTAATTGAGGAAAACCATCTGCGGCGGGAGGGCGTGTCTTCACTGAGGTGCGATGGCATTGTTGGCTGCTGAAGCAGGCATCAGAGTCCGAGAGGAGGACAGAGCACGTAGCCACAGGATGAGCACACCCACCAAGGGCTGATATGCAGAGCTGCCTACCCGAGGAGCATTGTGGGCCAGGAGAGCTTTGGATTCATCACAAGAGCAAGAGATGCATGGCAGCCCTGTTTCACAATAAGCATGTTATCTCACTCAGTCCTTGTGGCAAGCCCATTGGATGTACTGTCATTCTCCCGATGTTGTTGATTGGATACCAATGCTGGCCAGATTCATGGTGCTTGTAGGAGTGGAACCACCATGCTCAGCGGGACTAGACAGCTGCCAAACAGTGGAGGCTCAGGAAACCCCTTCACTTAAGTGCCAGCCTCACCCAGCCCGGACCTGGGAGGAAGCCAGGTAGTGGCAACAGAAGAGGAGGAAGGAAAGTCATCCAGGCACGTTTCCTGCGTGGAAAGAACAGCCTAAGATTGCTCAAGGTCTGGTTCAAATGGAGGTGTCCATAAAGAGACTTCCAGATCCCTTCCCATCAGAATTAACCTTTTGCACTCCCACAATACCGAAATACTTTACTTATTTATATGTGGCTATTAGGACAATTCAGAGAGAGACAAAATGTTTGAATTCACAAGAACAACATTTAAAAATGAGATAAGGCCAGGTACGGTGGCTCACGTCTGCAATTCCAGCCCTTTGGGAGGCCGAGGGGGGTGAATCACTTGAGGTAAGGAATTTGAGACCAGCCTGGCCAACATGATGAAACCCCATCTCTACTAAAAATATAGAGATTAGCCGGGCGTGGTGGCAGGTGCCTGTAGTCCCAGCTACTGGGGATGCTGAGGCAGGAGAATTGCTTGAACCCGGGAGGCGGAGGTTGCAGTGAGCTGAGATTGCATCACTGCCCTTCAGCCTGGGTGACAGAGTGAGACTTCATCTAAAAAACAACAGCAACAACAAAAAACACCAAAAAAACAACAAAACAAAACAAATAAGATGAGACCCTCAGTAATTATGTGAGCTTGGGAAAGCTACCACACCTCTTACATTCTGTTCTTTAAAGTAATAATAATTCCTGTGATATTGTCACAATACTCATGATTGGTGATACTTTTTAAAATTAACATTTTGGTAATATAACTCTTGCCCATAGTTTAAAAGCTGAGATAATTCTGTGAGGATTATTGTTCTCTGCTTCCATTTACATTTCTCATAGACAACCAATTCTAACTCTTTTAGCTGTTTCTTTGAGATTTACGTGCATATCTTGAAATAAAATGCTTATATTACCACTTTTTGCTTTAGTTCTGTTGAACAATGGAGAACCTCACAATACTGAAGGTGAGGACTTAGTTCTCTGTTCACTCTCTACCTCCACTACCACGCATAATTAACACACTTCCCTTCATTTATCACATTTACCTAATGAAATTACATAATCATTTTTGTTTAAATTAATATATAATGTTTATATTAAAATCTGTAAACTCATGATTCACAGCTGAGAGCCATGCAATAGGCTATATTCCTTTTCCTTAGAGTTAATACTATTATCTTTGGCCGGTTGTTGAATTTTTCATGTAATGATCACTATTCTATCCCCAAACTCTCCAGTAGACATGTAATTTTCTCTCCCCATGTTCAGACACGTGGATCTGTGTCTTCCATGTTGTTAGAGACATCTTTTGAAGCATTTTATCCTCCTGCTTGAATGTAAATTGATTGTTTCCTAGCCCTGTTCTGCAGCTGTCAGACTGATATTTTCTTTTATGATTGCCTTTTGTCAACAGCTTTCTGACATCAACTGAGTATTCTATGACCCAGTTCGATTCAGACACTACCTTGCACTTCTGCCTGGCCATCTACACATTTGGGGCTTCCTACAACTTCCTCACATTTGTTAATTTGCTATAACAACTCCCAGAACTTGGTGCTAAATAGTCATTTGATGATGAGGATGCGTTCTGAGAAATGCATTATTAGGCGATTTCGTTCTTGTACAAACATCAGAGTCTACTTACACAGACCTAGGTGTTATAGCATACTACACACTTAGGCTATATGGTAGAGCCTATTGTTCCTAGGCTATAAACCTGTACAGCATGGTGCTTTACTGAATAGTGTAGGCAATTGTAATGCAATTGTAAGTATTTGTGTATCTAAACATAGAAAAGGTGTAGTAAAAATACAGAATAAAAGATAAAAGAATGATATACATATACAGGGTAGTTACCGTGAGTGCAGCTTGCAGGACTGGAAGTTGCTCTGGTGAGTCAGTGAGTGAGTAGTGAGTAAATGTGACGGCCTGGGACATTACTGTGTGCTACTGTAGACTTCGTAAACACTGTACACTTAGACTACACTAAATTAAAAAAAAAAAGTAATTGCACTGTGATGTTATGACAGCTATGACATCACTAGGCAATAGGAATTTTTTAGCCATTATAATCCTATGGGACCACTTTCAGATACGCTGTCCATAGTTCCCTGAAATGTCATTATGTGACACATAATTGTCCTTGTGATTATTGTTTTATTATAAAAATGCAAATGAGCTTCCAGGTGAAAAGTTACATAGGACAAAGTCTAGGAAGTCCTAAGCACAGGGTCTTCTGTCTCTGTGGAGACCAGCAGTGCCATCCTCTTCATACATTGATGTGTTCACCAACCAGGTAGTTTCCCCAAGCCTTGCCGTCTGGAGTTATTGATGGAGTTTCATTTTGTATGCATGATTGATTAAACTTTTGACCACATGATTGAGCTAAATTTTCAGCATCCCTCCCCTTCTTGGAGGTTAAGCCTCAAGTTCCAGTTCTCCAATCACTTGGTTGGTTTCTCTGGCAACCAGCCTCCATCCTGAAACCACTTGAGGGACCCCTTCCATGAGCCACTTCATTAGCATAACAAGGAATTTCTGATTTCTGTCACTAAGAGTTTTTGAAGCTCTATGTCAGGAACCATGGACAAAGACCAAATAGCTACTTTGTATTATTTCAATAGCTATCAACTAGAGAATTTCCCTTGCCATTCTCCATTTGTGGATCCAGATCCTCTTTCCTGGTTTATCTTCTCAGTTGATGGATGGTGTCCTTTATTACAGTTTGGGAAAGGGAGCATAGCAGGATTTTGAAGACCTTATTTTTACCCTTACACTTGATGAATAGTGTGGCTAGGAATAAGTTGAATACTTTTTCTTAGAATTTTGTTGTTTCTTTTCTTATTCCAATGTTCCAGTTCCCAATAGCTTTGTTTTGCTCTCTGAATGTTTCTTGTTGGAAGTATCTGATTTTTGTTAGTATTTTTAAAGCAATGCCGTTGCTCTGTTATAGTACTGAAGTTGTCCTCGTCTTCCTCCTTCTTCTTCTTTTTTCCTCCCCGTGCCCCTTTCCCTTCCCCTTCTTCTTTCTTTCTTCTGCTTCTGCTGCTGCTTCATTTTCTTCCTGCTCCTTGATCCTTCTACTTCTTGCTTTTGCTTTTTATGGAATTTTTCTTCTACTTCCTGTATTGTCTGCATCCTCAAAGTCCCTTATCTGTTGTTTATTTTGGTCTCTATTTGTCATATTAGAGCCTTTCTCATGATGATAGGTGATCTTTGGTAGAAGCTGTGTGTGTGTAGTGTGTGTGTGTGTGTGTGTGTGTGTATGTGTGTGTGTGGTGTGTGCAGGCAGGGGGTTCCCATATGTCTGTATGGTAGTGGTGGTGATGTTGGAGAAGTGGGCTTCATCATAGCATGATTTGGATGGGAACGTATTTTGGGGACCTTAATATGATTAGGTCTTTTCTCTTCATTGGATCACATTTCCCAGAGAAAATTTTTCTAGTATGCTACCTGGGCAGTATGTGCCTGGCAGTCAGAGCTCTGGAAACCAAAACAAGGGAGGGGCTGGGGGTCATGCATTCTTAACCCACCTCTGTTGTCAGTATGCATCTGTGCTCTTGCTTTACCTATGCTCATCATACAGAGTCCTCCTCATATTTCCTCTTCTGAGAATAAAATGCTAATATTATGCCATGGCCAAGAGAGGCAGTTGCCACTTGTGCATTGTGGTTCTTAAAATGAATATGCAACAGAGCCTATGAAGAACTTTTAAAATATGAGTGTTGAGGTATGTATGTGAAAATAGCAGAATAATGGCCTCAAAAATTATTTCCTCCATAAAATCAGAAAGAAGAAGGAAACTGCCAACATTTGCCAAAAGTAAGTTTTTCAAAACTTTAGAAATAAACTAAGAGGAGACCAAAAGCTAGCAGCAATCTGGGGAGCATTTATTTTTTATAAAAATAGGCCGAATCTTGGTAAGAACAGTGACTTTTGTGACATTTTAACCTGCCCTATTTCCTTCTCCCATCTCCAGCTCCCTGGTAGCCTTGAATCTGCAATTCAGGCTGCAATCATGATGAAACCATCAGCCTTTCTGTCACCAAAGTGGAGAGAACAGAGTTAAAGCTCCTCAGAGTCTCACTGTTGGAGAATTGTCAGTATTTGGTCTGTCTGGTGGTTCAGTAGAAGACCCCACTTGCAAGACTATTTTTACTTGACCAAATGCAGAGCTTTCCCAGTCTAGAAAGCCTTTTCCCTGGGTTGTTGGGTTGAAAATTTAGAAGTAATTGCTTAACCTTGGGGCTGCCTGAGGCAGTGGATATCAACTGAGGAAGATAATAAGCTATAAAAAGATGAAAAGGAAAGGCTGGGGAATTCGATGTCCACAAGTTCTTTGAAAAGCTCCAAAAAACACATGTAAGGCTGTGCACATGCTCAGGAAAAATCTGAGAAGGCCTTAGACTCTCACCTCTGACTGACCTTGAGACTGTGCACAGGCAGGAAGTGAAGGCTAAAGCAGGGCTGTCAGCTGCCTGGCTGTGTGCGGAAGGTGTGCCCCAGCACACAACACAGCCCACTGCAAACACTGGGGGCAGAGCTGTCAGCTGCCTGGCTGTGTGTGGAAGGTGTGTCACAGCACACAGACATAGCCCACTGCAAACACTGGGGACAGAGCTGTCAGTTGCCTGGCTGTGTGTGGAAGGTGTGCCCCAGCACACAACACAGCCCACTGCAAACACTGGGGACAGAGCTGTCAGCTGCCTGGCTGTGCCGAAGATGTGCTCCAGCACACAGATGCAGCCCACTGCCAACACTGGGGATTCATGGATGCCAAGCATTGAAGGAAATCTCAGTTTCCTAAATAGCTGGCAACTCATATAACAAAGGAAAGACTTTAGTGAGTATACACAACAAAAGATACAGACTTTACAGAATTAGTTGAGAAAAGTTACTGAATAAACAAATAGCAGCAACAACAAACCTAGGGTTGGAGGATATACTTTCCAGATTTTTCACATTATAGTATTTTTTTTTTTTTTTGAGATGGAGTCTCACTCTGTCGCCCAGGCTGGAGTGCGGTGGCGCGATGTCCACTCACTGCAACCTCCACCTCCTGGGTTCAAGCCATTCTTCTGCCTCAGCCTCCCAAGTAGCTGGGATTACAGGCATGTGCCACCACGCCCAGCTAATTTTTGTATTTTTAGTAGAGACAGGGTTTCACCATGTTGGCCAGGATGGTCTCGATCTCTTGACCTCATGATATGCCTGCCTCGGCCTCCCAAAGTACTGGGATTACAGGCATGAGCCACCATGCCCAGCCACATTGTAGTATTTAAAATGTCCAATTTTCAAAAAATATATGTATGAGACATGCAGTGAAAATTTAAAAAGCAGATGGCATATACAGAGGGAAAAACAAAACAGAGTCAATAGGAATTGTCCTAAGAAAGCCCAGATGTTGAGTTTACTAGCAAAACACTTTAAACCAGTTATTTTATATATGTTCAATGCAGTAAACACTGTCTAAAACACTAAAGGAAAGTATAAGAATATCTCACCAAATAAATAATGCCAGTAAAGATGCATAGACATAAAAAATTTGATTCTGGAGTTAAAAATTCCAATAATGAAAATGAAATATTAACTAATGAGTTTCAATAAAAGATTCGAACAGGTGGAAGAAAGAAGGAACTTAAAGACGGATCAACTGAGTTTATCCCATCTGAATAACTGAGAAAAAAAATGGGGAAAAATGAACTAAGCATCAGAAACCTGTGAGAAAACAATCATAGCAACATACGCAAAAGAGTTATCCTAGAAGGAAAGAGGAAAGAAAGGGGCAGAAAGAATACTTGAAGCCAAAGGGAGTAAAAGCTTCCCAAATTGGGTGAAAAACATTGATGTACACATCCGTAAAGCTTAACAAACTACAGGAAGGATAAAACCAAAGATCCACACCTAGATACATCATAATCAAACTGTTGAAAGACAAAGAGGGAATCTTGAAAGCAGCAGGAGAGAACCAACTCATCACATGCAAAGTAGCCTTAATCAGATGAACAGCTGATTTCTCAACAGAAACCATGGAAGATAGAAAGCAGTGGAAAAGGATATTTTCAAAGTGCTGGAAGAAAAGACTTTAAGAATTCTATACCCAGTAAAAATATCTTTCAAAATGAAGGAGCAATTAATGCATTTTCCAATTTTAGAGAAGCTGAGACAATCCACTGCTGGAAAATTTTCCCTGCAAGAAAATACTGAAGAGTACTTTAGGTGAAATGAAAGGAGGGTAATTGGGATCTATAAAGAGATAATATCAGTAAGTAACTACCTAGGTAAACATAAAAGACACTGTAAATATATTTTGTGTTCATAACTCTTTTTTTCTCCTCTCTGATTTGAGATGCAACTGCATAAAGCAATAATTATAAGTATGTGTTGATATGCATACAGTGTATATAAATGTAATTTTTAATGCAACAACAACACAGAGGAGGAGAAAGCAAAGTTATACAGGGGGAAAGTTTTTGTACACTATTGCTTTAAGTTAGTATCAATCCAGACAAGATTGTTAGAAGTCAAGATGTTAATTGTAATTCCCGGGAAAAACAGCTTTACAAGAAGTAAGTGAAGTGACAAGGAAATGAAAATGGTACAGTGGAGAACATCTGCTTAACAAATTAGAAGGCAGTAGGGAAGGATTGGGGGAAGCACACAAGGCATGTAGAAAATCATAAAAAGCACCTAAGACATATAGAAAATAGCAAACTGGGCACAGTGGTTCACACCTGTATTTTAAGCCCTTTGGGAGGCTGAGACAGGAGGATTGCTTGAGGCCTATCGTTGGAGGCTAGCCTGGGTTACAGAGTGAGGCCCTATCTCTACAAAAAAAAGAAAAATTAGGTAGGCATGGTGACTCACACCTGTAGTCCTAGCTACTCAGGAGGTTGAGGTGGGAGGATTGCTTGAGTGCATGAGTTTGAGGCTACAGTGAACTGTGATTACACTGCACTCTAGCCTGGGTAACAGAGTGAGACCCTGAGGAAGGAAGGAGCAACCTGTTAGCTGTAAATTCTACTTTATCAGATTGCACATGGAAGTAGGTGGATTAGACACTCCAATGAAAATACAGAGATTGACAGAATAAATTAATAATTTGGCTGTATATGCAAGAGACACATTTTAGATTCAAAGGCACAAATAGGTTGAAAATAAATAGATGCAAAAAGATAATACCATGCAAACAGTAGTGAAGCTAGAGCTACAGTGGCTATACCAATATCAGACAAAATAGACTTCAAAGCATTACTACATCTCTACATGGTGGTGGGCGCCTGTAATCCCAGCTATTCGGGAGGCTGAGGCAGGAGAATTGCTTGAACCCAGGAGGCAGAGGTTGCAGTGAGCCGAGATCGCACCACTGCACTCCAGCCTGGGTGGCAGAGCAAGACTCCATCTCGGGGAAAAAAAAAAAGAAAAAAGTGTTACTACAGACTAAAAAGAGCATTTCATTGTAATAAAAAGTAAACTGGTCAGGAATATATCACAATTATAAATACATATGACGTATCAATGGGGCCCTCAAATACATGAAGCAAAAAGAGACAGAATTAAAGGGGAGTAATAGACAATTCAACAAAAATAGTTGAAGACTTCGGTACCCCTCTTTCAATAATGATAGAAACACTAGACAGTTAAAAAATAAATGGAAGACTTGAATGGCTTTCGTCTGCTAGCTAATGGACACCTTTTTTGTGATACCCTTGTTTCTTGTGTATAATTTTAAAACAACTACATAAAGCAATAATTAAAATCTGACTGACATTAGACTTAATAATAGAGTTAATAACCATTAGGCTTAAATTAGACCTAATAGACACATCTATAGGACACTCCACAGAAAATGAAAAGACAACTCACAGAATGTGAGATAATATATGAAATAATATATTTCCTAAGGGTCAAGTATCCAGCATATGTTAAAGAAACTCTTACAACTCAACAAAAATACAACCTAATTTAAGAAAGATCAAAGGATATTTATCCAATGAAATACTAAATGAGTAGACATTTATTCAGTGCAATAGTCAAAGCCACTGAGGCTGGGCCTGATGGCCGAAACCTGTAGTCCCAGCATTTTGGGAGGCTGAGGCAGGAGGATCACTTGAGGCCAGGAGTTGGAGACCAGCCTGGGCAACCCATCAAGACCCAATTGCTACAAAAAAATTTAAAAATTAGCTGGGTGCAGTAGTGAATGGCTGTAGTCCCAACTCCTCAGGAGGCTGAGGCAGGAGGATCACTTGAGCACAGGAGGTCGAGGCTGCAGTGAGCTATGATTATACCACTGCACTCCAGCCTGGGTGATGGACCAAAACCCCATCTCAGAAAACAAAAACAAAAAACTAAGAAAACTCCACTGAATTCTGTACTTTAAAAAGATAATTTTATCATACATTAATTATGGCTCATTTTTTAAGTATAAATGCTTGTGTCCAAACCTTCTTATATCTTGAATTGTTCAGTGTGAAAAGAGATCTAGGTTGCTTTTTTTTTAAAACAAAGCTTCCTGAATTGTCTGTTGTGAATATTGTGTTAGCAAACATAGATTTTGAAAATCAGCGAAACACCAGAACTTGAAACGCACTCTGGGCACTTAACTTGAAAGTACTACATATGCTATTTTTATAATTATTTTTTATCTGATTTTCCCCCCGCCCACTAGATTTATCTCAATTGATGAAGCATTTATTGTGGCTTCTTAATAGATGTCTATTTAGAAGAATTATAAACCTTTTTAAAAAATAAGCCAGCTTTATTGAAGCTGTAATTGACATACAAAAACTATATAGTTTAAGTATACAGGTTGATAGGTTGAGACAAGTTTGTACACTCATGAAACCATTCCGACAATATAAAGAACATTTCCATCATTTGTAATAGGCTGCGTTTTGTTTTGTTTTGTTTTTTGCCCCTCTGCAGTTCCTCCCTTACACCTCAGCTTCCTCTAACCTCCAGGCAACCACTAATCTGATTTGTCACTATGGATTATTTTGCTCACTATTTAATTGGATTTTTTAAATGTTGAATTTTGAGAGTTCTTTATATATTCCAGAGATAAAAGTACTTTGTCAGATATGTGGACTCTAAATGTAAGAGTGGTTTCCAATACTCTTAACAAGGTATTTTCCAGCAAAAAAAAAGTTTTTAATTTTCATACAGTCTAATTTTATTTTTCTTCTACAGCTCATGTTTTTAGTGTCATGTCCAAGAACATTTCACTAAGCCCAGGACCCTGAAGATTTTTTCCTATGTTTTCTTAAAAAGGTTTATAGTTTAACATTTACATTTAAGTCTGCAATCTATTTTGAGTTTTTTTTGTGTGTGTGAACATGTGAGGTTTAGTTCCTTTTTTTTTTTTTTTTTTTTGTTGAGACGGAGTCCTGCTCTGTCGCCCAGGCTGGAGTGCAGTGGCACGATCTTGGCTCACTGCAAACTCTGCCTCGCGGATTCACGCCATTCTCCTGCCTCAGCCTCCCGAGTAGCTGGGACTACAGGCACCCACTACCATGCCCAGCTAATTTTGTTGTATTTTTAGTAGAGATAGGGTTTCACCGTGTTAGCCAGGATGGTCTTGATCTCCTGACTTCATGATCCGCCCATCTCAGCCTCCCAAAGTGCTGGGATTACAGGCATGAGCCACCGTGCCTGGCCTAGTTCCTTTTTTTATATCGATGTCCAATTGCTGCAGCCCCATTTGTTGAAAAGATTGCCCTTTATTATCCATTGAATTGCTTTTGCACATCTGTCATAATTATTAGGCTCCACTTCAGGAGGTCTATTTCTAGAGTCTTTATTCTGTTTCATTTATCTATGTATTAATCCCTCAACTAATACCACACAGCCTAGATCACTGTAAATCTTCAAATCTGGTGGGATGATTGCTTATATTCCTTCTCTTTCAAAGTTGTTTCAGCTACTCTTTTCCTTTTGTCTTTCCATATACATTTTAGAACTATCGTATGTATATCAACAAATATATTACAGGGATTTTGATATGATTACATTAAACCTCGATACCAATTTGAGGAATGTTAGCATATTTATTATATTATTTCAGTTTGTGAATATGTCTGTTTATTTCTTCTTTGATTCCTGTCATTGGTGTTTGTAATTTTCAATATACAAGTCAAGTACACACTTCGTTAGATTTACACCTAAGCCATTTGATATGGATTGTCCCCTCCAGATCTCATGTTGAAATGTGATCCCCAGTATTGAAGGTGGGGCCTGGTGGGAGGTGTTTGGATGATTGGAGCAGATCCCTCATGAATGGCTTGCTACCCTCCCCAGTATAATGAGTTTATACAAGAGCTGGTTGTTCAAAAGAGCCTGGCACCTCCTCCTCTCTCTCTTGCTCCCTCTTTCACCACGTGACACACCTGCTCCCCTTCACCTTCCACCATGATTATAAGCTTCCTGAGGCTTCACCAGAAACAGATGCTGGCACTATGCTTCTCGTACAGCCTGCAGAACTGTGAGCCAAATAAGCCTCTTTTTTTTTTTTCTCAATAAGTCAGTCTCAGGTATTCCTTTATAGCAGCACAAAATGGACTAACAGTAAATTGGTACTGAGGAGTGGGGTGTTGCTATAAAAGATACTTGAAAATGAGGAATTAATTTTGGAACTTGGTATGGGCAGAGGTTGGAAGAGTTTGGAGGACTTAGAAGACAGGAAGATTAGGGAAAGTTTGGAACTTCTTAGAGACTGGTTAAATGGTTGTGACCAGAATGCTGATGGCAATATGGACAGTGAAAACCAGGCTGATGAAGTCTCAGATAGAAATGAGGAATTTATTAAAAACGAGTAAGGGCACTCCTGTTACACCCTAGCAGATAACTAGGCTGCATTGTATTCATGTTCTAGGGATTTATGGAAAGTTGAACTTAAGAGTGATAACCTAGGGCATCTGGCAAAGGACATTTCTAAGCAGCAAAGCATTTAAGAGGTGACATGGCTGCTTCTAACAGCCTACTGTCAGATGCAGGAGCGAAGAAATGACTCAGAGTTTGAAGTTACATTTAAAAGGGGAGCAGAGTGTAAAAGTTAGAAAATTTGCAGCCTGGCTGTGTGAAAGAAAAAGCATTTTCAGGAGAGGACAATAAGCAGATTGTGTCAGGAGAGGACTACAAGCACTAGTGGAGCAACTTCTCCCAAAAGAGATTTGCATGACTAAAAGGGAGGCAAGCACTAATAGCCAAGACAATGGGGAAAAGGCCTTGAAGGGGTCTCAGAAATCTTTGGGACAGAAGTTCCCATCACAGGTCCAGAGGCCTGGGAGGAAAGACTGGTTTCTGAGGCCAGAGCTGAGGCACTGCTGCCCTGCACAGCCTTAGGACACTGCATCCGTGATCCTGGAAGCTCTGGCTCCAGTCATGGCACAGAGGGCTCCAGGTACAGCTTGAGCCACTGCTTCAGAGAACATAAGCCGTAAGCTTTGGTGGTACCATGTGGTACTAAGTCTGCAGGTGCACAGAATGCAAAATTGAAGGAAGCTTGGCAGCTTTTACCTAGCTTTCAGAGGATGTATGGAAAACACTGGGTGCCCAGGTGGAAGCCTATTGCAGGGGTGGAGCTACCATGGAGGGCGTCTAATAGGGTAGTGCTGAGGGGAAAGATGGGGTTGGAGCCCTCACATGGAGTCCCCACCAGGTCACTGCCTACTGGAGCTGTAGGAAGGGGGCAACCATCCGCCAGACCCATGAATGGTAGAGCCACTGTCAGCTTGCACCCTGAGCCCAGCAAAGCTGCAGGCAGTCAACTCCAACTTGTGTGAGCAGCCACAGAGAGGGCACACTCTCCAAAGCCACAGGGTCAGAGCTTTCCAAGGCCTTGGGAGCTCACCTCTCACAACAGTGTACCCAGGATGCGGGACATGGAGTCAAAGGAGGTTATATTGGAGCTTGAAGGTTTAATGTTGGCCCTGCTGGGTTTCAGACTTGTGTGTGGCCTATTGCCCCTTTCTTTTGGCTGATTTCTCCCTTTAGGAATGGGAATGTTTACCAAATGCCTGTACCACCATTGTTTCTTGAAAGCAAATAACTTGTTTGTGATCTAACAGGCTCATAGGTCAAAGAAATTTGCCTTGAGCCTTAGATGAAACTTTGGACTTTTGATTGAGTTAATGCTGGAATAAGTTAAGACATTTGGGGACTATTTGGAAGGGATGATTATATTTTGTAATAGGAGAAGGACAAGAGATTTAGGGGACCAAGTGCAGAATGATATGGTTTGGGTATTTGTTCCTTCTAAATCTCATGTTGAAATGTGATCCTCAATATTGGAAGCAGGGGCTGGTGGAAGGTGTTTGGGTCGTGGGGATGGATCCCTCATGAATGGCTTGCTGCTCTCCCCACTGTAATAAGTTCATGCAAGAACTGGTTGTTTAAAAGAGGCTAGCACCACTTGCCCTCTATCTTGCTCCCTCTTTTGCCATATGACACACCTGCTCCCCTTTTGCCTTCCACAATGATTTTAAGCTTCCTGAGGCTTCACCAGAAGCAGATGCTGGCACCATGCTTCTTGGGCAACCTGCAGAACCAGAAACCAAATAAATCTCTTTCCTTTATAAATTACCCAGTCTCAGGTATTCCTTTTTACCAATGCAAAAGGGACTAATACATTGGTCTTCCTTCATTGTTTTCCTTCTTCCTGTTCCCATTTTCTCCCTTCCTTCATTGTCCTCCTTCTTCCTGTTCCCATTTTCTCCCTTCCTTCTTTCCTTCCTTCTTATTGTTAAAAATTGTAAATGTTAATGTATATTTAATTTTGATGTCCATATGCTCATTGCTGGTGTATATAAATCAAGTTGATTTTTGGTATGTTAATTTTGTATCCTGCAGCTTTGCTAAACTCACTTATTCTGTTTTTGTTTTGTTTTTGTGGATTCTTTGGGATTTTCTATGCAGACAATTATGTCTTCTGCAAACAGCCAGTGTTATTTCTTTCCTTTCCATCTGTATGTGTTTCATTGCCTTTTCTTGAACTTACTGCACTGGCTAAAACTTCTAACAGTATAACATAACATAACATAGTGTTAGAAGTTTTAGCCAGTGCAATAAGTTCAAGAAAATAGAATAAAAGTAGAGAGAGCAAACGTCTTTGCCTTGTTTCCTATTTTAAGAAGAAATTATTGATTATTTTACTACTAAATATAACTGTAGCTATAACTGTTTTGTAAATGCTGTTTATCAAGTTGAGGAAGTTTGCCTTTATTCCGACTTTTTTGAGTTTTATAATGAATAGGTCTTGAATTTCGTCAGATGGTTTTTTCTGCGGCTCTTGATATGAATCACATTATTAATATTATTATTATTATTATTATTATTATTTTTGAGACAGAGTCTCCCTCTTGTTGCCCAGGCTGGAGTGCAGTGGCATGATCTCGGCTCACTGCAACCTCCGCCTCCTGGGTTCAAGTGATTCTCAGGCTCCCGAGTAGTTGGGATTACAGGCATCCGCCACCACGCCCAGCTAATTTTTTGTAGTTTCATTAGAGATGAGGTTTCACCATGTCGGCCAGCCTAGTCTTGAACTCCTGACCTCAGGTGATCCACCCACCTCGGCCTCCCAAAGTGCTAGGATTACAGGCATGTGCCACCGCGGCTGGCCAGAATCACATTATTTGATATGAATTTTTTTGTGTAGTTTTTCTTCTTTTGCCTTTTCTATTTAAGTTTTATATTGATTGATTTTCAAATATTAAACCAGCCTTAAATCCCTGGAATAAACCCTGGTTTGGTCATGGAACATAATTTTTTTGTATATATTGCTGAATTCAATGTGCTAACACTTATTATGGATTTTTGTGTCTATGAGAGATATTCATCTATATTTTCTTTTTTATACTTTCTTTGTTTCTGTAAGCAGGGTAATACTGGCTTAATAAATGAATTGAGAAGTGTTTCCTCTTTCAAATTGTGGAAGCAATGGTGTAGAATTGGTGTTAAAATTATTCTTTAAACATTTGATACAGTGAAATCGTCTGGGCTTAGAGACTTTATTTTTAAGAGTTTTAAAATTACAATTTCAGCATCTTTAATGTTATAGGACTTTTAAAATTATTTATTTTGTATTAGGTGAGTTGTAATCATTTGTCTTTTTTGAGGGATTTATTCATTTCGTCTAAATCGTCCAATTTATGAGTGTAAAATTCTTCATAGTACTTTCTTATTATCCTTTGATATCTGCAGGATCTGCATTCATATCCTCTATTTTAGTCCTCATGCTGCTTATTTGAATCTTCTCTCTTTTTTCTTTATTAGTCTCGCTAAAGGTTTTTCAATGTTACTGTTCTTTTTAGAGAACCAGCTCTTTGTATCATTGATTTTCTCTATTGCTTGCTTTCAATGTCATTGATTTCTGCTCTTACCTCTATTTTTTCCTTCATCCTTCTTGCTCTCTGGGAAATTTTTTTTTCTCTTTTTGTAGGTTCTTCAGATAGGAGCTTATATTATTTTTTGAGTCTTTTCCTTTTTTCTCATATATGCATTTATTATTGTAAATTTCCTTCAGCATTGCTTGCTTTCTATCTCACAAATTTTAATATGTTGTATTTTCATATTCAAAATATATTTTTAAAAATTATCTTGATTCTTTCTTTTTGACCTACAGATTACTTAGAATGTGTGTTTTTTCAATATTTTAGCCTTTGGATATTTTCCTATTATTCTTCCATTGTTAATTTGATTCCAAATTATACTTTGTGTTATTTCAGTTATTCTACATTTTTGAGTTTTATGGTCCAGAGTATGGCACATTTTGGTATGTACTCCATGGCCACGTGAAAAGAGTATTTTCTGCTTTTGTTCATTGGGGTGTTGTGTAAATTTTAGTTATATCTTGTTGGTTGATATTGTTAAGTTTGTCTGTATCCTTGCTGATTTTCTGTCTCTTTCTCTTTTAAATTGTGGAGAGACAAAGTATAAACATCTCCAGCTATAATTGTGGATGCTTCTGTTTCTCCTTTCAATTTTGTAAGTTTTGTCATCTATGTGTTTTGAAGTTTGATGACACACAATTAAGATTGCTGTGTTTTCTTGGCAGATTGGCCTGTTTATCGTCAGATATTGTCTCTCCCTATCTATGGTAATTTTCTTTGCTCTGAATGCTTTATTTGATATTATATCAGGCCACAACAGATTTATTTAGATTAAGGTTTACATGCTGTATTTTGTTCTATTGTTTTATTTTCAAATCGTGTGTATTGTTTTATTTGATATAAGTTTCTTGTAGACAGCTTATAGTTTGGTCATGCTTTTTTGTTGCTGTTTTTAGTAGATTTTATTTTTAGAGCAGTTTTAGGTTTACAACAAAATTGAACAAAAGTACAAAGATTTCCCACATATCCTGTGTCACCCCACATGCATAATCTCTCTCATTATTAACATCCCTGACCAGAGTGGTACATTGTTACGATTGACAAACCTACACTGACACATCATTGTCACCCAAAATTCATAGTTTACATTAGTGTTTGTTCTTGGTGTTGTACATTCTGTAGGTTAGGGTAAATGTATAATGACCTGTATCTACCATTATAATATCATTCAGAATAGTTTCACTGCCCCCCAAGTCTTCTCTGCTCCACCTAGTCATCCCTTGCTCCACCCAACTCTTGAAAACCCTTGGTCTTTTTATAGTATCTATAATTTTACCTTTTCCAGAATGTCAGCTCTGGGAATGTATGGTCCCACAGTTGGGAGCATACAGAATGTAGCCTTTTCAGATTTGACTTCTTTCACATAGTAATATGCATTTAAAGTTCCTCCATGTCTTTTTATGGCTTGATAGCTCTTTTTTTTTTTAGTGTTGAATAATAATCCATTGTCCAGATGTACCACAGATTACCCATTTACCTACTGAATGACATTTTGGTTGCTTCCAGTTTTGGGCAATTATGAATAAAGCTTCTATAAACATCTGTGTATAGGTATTGTGTGGACATATGTTTTCAAATCCTTTGGGTAAATACCAAAGAGGGCAATTGCTGGATTAAATGATAAGAGTATGTTTAGTTTTGTAAGAAAATCCTAGACTGTCATTCCAAGTGCCTGTACCATTTTCTGTTCTCACCAGCAATAAATGAGAATTCCTGTTTCTGTTTGTCCTTGCCAGCATTTGGTGTTGCCAGTGTTCTGGATTGTGGCCATTTCAATAAATGTGTAGTGGTATCTCATTGTTGTTTTACTCTGCATTTCCCTGATGACATATGATGTGGAACATATTTTCATATGTTGATCTGTATGTCTTCTTTGGTGAAGTATCAGTTAAGATCTGTCTTAGTTCATTTAGTGTTCCTATAAAGGAATACCTGAGGCTGGGTAATTTATAAAGCAATGAGTTTTATTTGGCTTACAGTTCTACAGGCTGTGGAAGTATGGCACCATCATCTGCTTCTGATGAGGGCTTCAGTCTGCTTCTACTCATAGCAGAAGGTGAAGGAGGAGGAGCATGTGTAGAGATCACATGATAAGAGAGGAAGCAAGAGAGAAAGAGAAAGAGGTGACAGGCTCTTTTTAACAACTAGCACTCACTGCTCTTATGGGAACTAAAACAGTGGTAACTCATTACCAGGAGGATAGTACCAAGCCATTCATGAGGGATTTGCCCCGTGACCCAAACACTTCCCCTTAGGTGCCACCTCCAGTGTTGGGGATCAATTTTCCATATGAGATTTGGAGGGATCAGACAAACTATAGCAAGGTCTTTGGCCTATTTTTAAATTGGGTTGCTTGTTTTCTTTTTGTTGAATTTTAAGCACTGTTTGATGTTTTTGTATAACAGTCCTTTATCTGATTTGTCTCTTTCAATTACTTTCTCCCATTCTGTGACTTGGCTTCTCATTATCTTGAAATTTTCTTTTGCAGAGGAGAAGTTTTTAATTTTAATGAAGTCCAGTCTATCAATTCTTTCTTTCGTAGATCATCCTTTGGTGTTACTTCTAAAAAGTCATCACCATACCAAAGTCATGTAGGTTTTCTCTTGTGTTATCTTCTAGTTTTATAGTTTTGCATTTTACATTTAGGTCTGTGATCCATTTTGAGTTAATTTTTGTGAAGGATGTAAGGTTGTATCTACATTTATTTTTTCGTATGTGGATGTGAGTTATTTCAGCATCATGTCTTTTAAAGACTATTGGGACCTGTTTTTCTAGTCTCTGCCAACGTGTATTAAATTACTTTATTTAAAACTAGAAAACCTAGAAGAAATGGTTACATTCCTGAACACATACACCCTCCCAAGACTGAACCTGGATACAGTCAAATCCCTGAATAGACCAATGACAAGTTCTGAAATTGAGGCAGTAATAAAAGCCTACCAACCAAAAAAAAAAAAAAAAAGCCCAGGACCAGATGGATTTATAGCTTAATTCTACCAGAGGTACAAAGAGGACCTGGTACCATTTCTTCTGAAACTATTCCAAACAATTAAAAAGGAGGGACTCCACCCTAACTCATTTCATGAGGCCAGCATCATCCTGATACCAAAACCTGTCAGAGATACAACAAAAAAAGAAAACTTCAGGCCAATATCCCTGATGAACTTCGATGCAAAAACCCTCAATAAAATACTGGCAAACCAAATCCAGCAGCACATCACAAAGCTTATCCACCATGATCAAGTCAGATTCATCCCTGGGATGCAAGGTTGGTTCAACATAGGAAAATCAATAAATGTAGTTCGTCACATACACAGAACTAAAGACAAAAGCCACTTCATTATCTCGATAAATGCAGAAAAGGACTTTGATAAAATTAAACATCCCTTCATGTTAAAAACTCTCAATAAACTAGGTATTGATGGGACATACCTCAAAATAATAAGAGCCATTTATGGCAGACCCACAGCCAATATCATACTGAATGGGCAAAAGCTGGAAACATTCCCCATGAAAACCAGCACAAGACAAGAATGCCCTCTCCCACCACTCCCATTCAACATAGTATTGGAAATTCTGGCCAGGGAAATCAGGCAAGAGAAAGAAGTAGAGGGTATTCAAATAGGAAGAGAGGAAGTCAAATTGTCTCTGTTTGCAGATGATATGATCCTATATCTAGAAAACCCTGTTGTCTCAGCTTCAAATCTCCTTAAGCTGATAAGAAACTTCAGCAAAATCTCAGGACAGGAAATCAATATGCAAGAGTCACAAACATTTCTATATAACAACAGACAGAGAGCCAAATCATGAATGAACTCCCATTCACAATTGCTACAAAGCAAATAAAATACCTAGGAATACAGCTAACAAGGGAAGTGAAGGACCTCTTCAAGGAGAACTACAAACCACTGCTCAAGGAAATCAGAGAGGATACAAACAAATGGAAAAGCATTCTATGCTCATGGATAGGAAAAATCAATATCATGAAAATGGCCATACTGCCCAAAGTAGACAGATTTAATGCTATTCCCATTAAATTACCATTGACATTCTTCACAAAATTAGAAAAAAAAAAACTACTTTAAAATTCATATTGAACCAAAAAAGGGCCCTTACAGCCAAGGCAATTCCAAGCAAAAAAGAACAAAGCTGGAGCAGCATCACTCTACCCAACTTCAAACTATACTACAGTGCTACAGTAACCAAAACAGGATGGTACTGGCACAAAAACAGACACATAGACCAATGGAACAGAATAGAGAATTCAGAAATAAGACCACACATCTAAAACCATCTGATCTTCTACATACCTGACAAAAACAAGCAATGGGGAAAGGATTTCCTATTTAATAAATGGTGCTAGGAGAACTGGCTAGCCATATGCAGAAAATTGAAACTGGATCCCTTCCTTACACCATATACAAATATTAACTCAGGGTGGATTAAAGACTTAAATGTAAAACCCTAAAATATAAAAACCTAGAAGAAAATGTAGGCACTATCATTCAGGACGTAGGCATGGGCAAAGATTTCATGTTGAAAACGTCAAAATCAATTGCAACAAAAACAAAAATTAACAAATGGGATCTAACTAAAGAGCTTCTGCACAGCAAAAGAAACTGTCATCACAGTGAACAGACAGCCTATAGAATGTGAGAAAATTTTTACAATCTGTCCATCTGACAAAGGTCTAATATCCAGAATCTACAATGAACTAAACAAATTTACAAGAAAAACACAACCCCATTAAAAAAATGGGCGAAAGGCAAGAACAGACACTTCTCAAAAGAAGACATTTATGTGGGCAACAAACATATGAAAAAAAAGCTCCACATCACGAATCATTAGAGAAATGCAAGTCAAAACCACAATGAGATACCAACTCATGCCAGTCAGAATGGCGATTATTAAAAAGTCAAGAAACAACAGATGCTGGCAGGGCTGTGGAGAAATAGGAATGCTTGTATTCTGTTGGTGGGAATGTAAATTAGTTCAACCATTGTGGAAGACAGTGTGGCAATTCCTCAAAGACCTAGAACCAGAAATACCATTTGACTCAGCCGTCCCATTACTGGGTATATATCCAAAGGAATATAAATCATTCTATTACAAAGATACATGCATGTGTATGTTCATTGTAGCACTATTCACAATAGCAAAGACATGGAATCAACCCAAATTCTCATCAATGATAGACTAAAGAAATGTGGTACATATACACCATGGAATACTACAGAGCCATAAAAAGAAATGAGATCATGTCCTCTACAGGTACATGGATGAAGCTGGAAGCCATTATTCTCAGCAAACTAATGCAGGAACAGAAAAGCAAACACTGCATATTCTCATAAGTGGGAGCTGAACAATGAGAACACATGGACATGGGGTAAAGCAGGGAACAACACACACCAGGGCCTGTCGGGTGGGGTCCTGGCAGTGGGAGAGCATCAGGAAAAACAGCAAATGCATGCTGGGATTAATACCTAGGTGATGGGTTGATAGGTGCAGCAAACCACCATGGCACATGTTTACCTGTGTAACAAACCTGCACATGTATCCCGAAACTTAAAATATAAAATTAAATTTGAAAAATAAAAATAAATAAATTACTGTACTTAGAGTATTTACATTTAATGTAATTATTGGTATGTTAGGGGCTTATGTGTGCCATTTTATTTCTGTATTTTGTTTATCTTTTTTATATTTTACCTGCTTTCCTATAGGCTATTTGAACATTTTTAAGAATTCCATTTGATTTATTCATAGTGTGTCCCAGTGGAACTCTTTGTGTATATATAAATTATTCCAATGAGTAATACTCTATTGTTTGAATATTAGTCGTTTTTCTAGGTATTATATTATTTATGAATAGCTTATTCCTGTCTACTAATGTTATTTTACCAGTTTGCATGCAGCATAGAAACTTTACCTCCCTTTATCCTCTCCTGTAGTTACCTTTACTATTTTCTCCACATACATTAAAACCATCTCAGACAGTTTTATACTTTTTCCTTCAACCAACAAACATAATTTAGAATACTCAACAAGAGAAAAAAAGTTCCATTATATTTACCCATATTTTTACTTGCCATATTTTTCCCTGCTTTCTCTCCACTCTTCCTTCTTTTAATGTTTCCTTTCAATCTATTGAACTTTAGCTATTCTTCTGAAGGTAGATGTGGTGGCAACACAATCTTTTAGTTGCCTCAGTCTGAGAATTTCTTCATTTTTCTTTCATTTTTGACCAATATATTTCACTGTATATAGGATTCTGAGGTGATCTTTTTTTCAGCATTTGAAAAGGTTGTTTTTCTTCATTCTGAACTCTGTGGTTTCCAATGAATAATACTTTGTCATTTGAATTGTTTTTGCAGTATAGGTAATGTGTCATTTTTCTTTCTCTGTTTTTAAGGTGTTTGTGTGGTCCTTAATTTTTAGAAATTTGACTGTGATGTGTCGTGGTGGAGATTTCTTTGGATTTATCTTGTTTGGGGTTTGTTCATTTCTTTAATCTATAGATCTGTGTCTTTTATCAAATTTGTGAAGTGTTGGTCATTATTCATGTACTTTTTCAACTCCACCTTCTTCTTTTATCTAGGACTCCAATTATATGATTATTAGATTTTTTTTGTAGTCCCATAAGTCTCTGACTTTTTTTTCAGTTTATTTTACCTTTGTTTTTCAAATTGAGTAATTTCTATTCTATCTTTGTGTTCACAATCTCCACCTGTAATTCTTAGTAAAGCAGGTTATATGTAAGATGAGAATGTTTTAGAGAACAACTCAGCATGAAAATAATCAGATCATATTTGTGGCAATACAGGATGTAAAATATGGGGATCATAGAATAGAACTTAACAGTTCTTTCAACAGTTGGATAATGCAATTAGTACAACTTTATGCAATGTCTTCTTTCCACTGTATATCTTATTTTTAATATGATTATTTTGAAAAAACATACTAATTATATAATATTCCATTTTATGTATAAGCAATGATGTATTGCTGGGCAGTTAACTTTGTTGATAATATTGCAAGCCCTATAAATAACATTATAATGAACATCTTTGGGTTTCTATTTTTGTTAATGATCACTGTTTTTTAGTATAATTTCTTAAATGTGAAATTAGTAGCTCAGGCTGGGCATGATGGCTCATGCCTGTAATACCAACACTTTGGGAGGCCGAGACAGGTGGATCACTCGTGGTCAGGAGTTCAAGACCAGCCTGGCCAACATGATGAAACACTGTCTCCTACTAAAAATACAAAAATCAGCCTCGTGTGGTGGTGCACACCTGTAGTCCCAGCTACTTGGGAGAATCTTTCATGATAACCTGACTTTCTATAAAATATAAATTAGGACAAATGTATTCCTTGGTGCTATGGTTTAAATGTGTCCCCCAAAGTTCATATGTTGGGATCTTAATTCCTAATGCAACAGTACTGGGAAGTGGGCCTAATAGGAGGTGATTAGCTAATAATGATTAATATTGTTATTGTAGGAGTGAGTATTGTGAGAGGGGGAGATAAATTATCTCAAGAGTGGATGTGTTAAAAAAGTGAGTTTGGTCCCCTCTTGCTCTCTCTCGAGTACTCTCTAGCCCTTCTGTCTTCCATCATGGGATGTTGTAGCAAGAAGCCCCATTGCCAGATGCCAGCACTTTGAAATTGGACTTCCCAGCCTCCAGAACTGTGAGAAATAAATTTCTTTATAAATTACTCCCTTCATGATATTCTGTTACAGCAACACAAAACAGACCAAGACACTTTATCAAATTGCAAAGAAACATTGTTGTTCTAGGTTATAATAAATGTAAAAACTAGTGCAAATTTATTTTGGGCTACATGTGAAGGGATGAGATAAGGAGGGTGGATGGTGTGGGACAGAAATTCAACTGTTAACTATTATATAGATTCAAACTTGGACGTCATCTACACATAGCAATTTATTCCTAGCCAGTTCAGGGTTTATAATGAAAAAATATTTCCCTGACATATTAAGTGGCTCATATATAACAAAAGGTCATTTATGAAGGAAGGAATTACTTTGGAAATTTATGCAAACTATTTAATCACTTAAATTATGAAAAAGTTCCAACGCAATTTGGTTCCTGATTTTGTGATAGGAACATTTTTCTTGGTAATTGGTGTAGTGGCCTCATGTCAGGAGTCACTTCATTCTCCTTTTCAGAAGAAGAAAAGGGTTTATGAATGGTCTGTATTTGATTTTTTAGCACCTCACTATTCATCAGTATAAGCCCTAGATTAGATGGGCAATGGAATTTTGGGCTGAAGAAGGGAGAGGTATAGTTTTCCTTGTGTTAAAACTCTGTTTGATTAATTAGAATGAACTGCCAAGGTGTTTCTGGACACCAGTAATTTATTATCTTCCTACAAGTCTATAAGAGAAGGATTAGAGCCTAAAAGTCTGTATGGAACTCGCTATTTATAAATTTTACGGAAAAACAAACATGTTGGAAAACTGCAAGTTTAATCAGATTCTACAGGACTTCTTAGACTCCTTGTGACAGCAATATGAACTAAGAATTGGTAGGAGGGGTTATAGTTCTTTCTGTTTAATGTCTGTAATTTACATAGGGCTCTCTTAGACCATAGATTTAGGGTGACCCCAGCCTGGTTTCACAAGGTAGGACTTCCATTGAATTCTCTCTCACCAGTGTGTTCCTCGTTTGGAGTTCAGCACTGGGGACTGACTGGGCGGCAATGTGCATGAGCACATACAGTCTCAGAACATGCACTTTGGGCAAAGAGCAGAGCCCCTTTAGGTCAGGGTTGGATTTACCGTGGTGGCTCCAGTAGAGGACTGAAGCTTTGGCATATCATGTTCAATGTTCCTTCCTCTCCATCAGATATTTTTAATAAATGTGCAAGTCTTTAATAAATGTGAATCACCAGTGGTGGACATTTTGTCCAAGAATTGTCCTGAAGAGGAAGACAGTTTGGACCAGCTGCCCTGGGAAACTCCTCAGGCTACTTTACTCGAGTGCAGCCTCGCTGACTGCTCATGCTAGTGCATTAGAAGGTGGCCACGAGGACAGGCTGGCGCTGCCTGCACGGCCTGCACTCATACCTATGCTCATCGGCTGACCTCTGACTCTTTTTTTTTTTTTTGAGACGGAATTCTGCTCTTGTGGCCCAGGCTGGAGTGTAACGGCACGATCACAGCTCACTGCAACCTCCGCGTCCTGGGTTCAAGTAATTCTCCTGCCTCAGCCTCCTGAGTAGCTGGGATTACAGGCACCCACCACCACGCTCAGTGAATTTTTGTATTTTTAGTAGAGCTAGGGTCTCAGCATGTTGGCCAGGCCTCGAACTCCTGACCTCAGGTGATCCACCTGCCTTAGCCTCCCAAAGTGCTGGGATTACAGGTGGGAGCCACTGCACCCGGCCTCCCCCTAATTCTTATATTTCAGCAACATGTCCCTGTAGGTCACTTCTAGTAGTCTTTGCTATTTAAATAAGCTTAGGAGCATCTGCAAACTTAGAAAGTTTCCTGCCTTTGAGATAATTTATAAAAATATCAATGTTGATTCTGGCAGAAACCCCCCATGTAGGCCCTTTATCCCAATTAATGTTTTTCAAACATTAGAGTGCCTGACATTGTGATAGATCATTAGCCGTCTCTGCTACTTTATATATTTTCTGTATCTTTATCCTTATGCATACAAAGAAACTTAGCACCATATTCCATTCATTCTAAGATGCACATTAGTTTCACATTTTAACTTTTTTATTTAAAATCGGGCATGTCTTACAATTGAATAGCATCTTAGATTTGATGACATGTGAAACTAGAATAAATGCTTAGAGGATTAACAGTGGAATTGGAATTATCCCTTGAGTGTATGTTAAAAATAACCTGAAAAGAGTTTGTATTTAAAAGTATTTTCAGAGTTTCAATTATGCTGACTCCAATTTTTGTATCCCATTCTTCTGAATTCAGTTTCTCCTTCCAGGAGGACACCTGATAGTAATTACTCCAATGAAGTAGTGTCAGTAATGACATTGTCTTTGTTTATCTGAAAAACGTTTTTCTTTTAACTTTACTCTTGGACGGCAGTGTAGCTGGTCTTAGATTCCAAAGTTGAAGTCCATAATTACTTTCCATAATTTGAACATGTTACTTCATTGATTCCTGGCTGCTCTTATTGTGGCTTGCCATCTGCTCCCTGGCCAGTCGTTGTTACCCTGTGGATAAACTGTTTGATTCTGTACTTTTAAGATATTCTTTTTCATATTCTATCGTTTTACTACAATGTGACTTAGTTAATTTTAAAATTATAAATAAACATATTATAAATAAACTCCCTTGTAGTATCTTCAAGTTTTCTTTAAAGATAAACACTTTTGGCCAGGCACGGTGGCTCACGCCTGTAATCCCAGCACTTTGGGAGGCTGAGGCGGGCAGATCATGAGGTCAGGAGATCGGGACCATCCTGGCTAACATGGTGAAACCCCGTCTCTACTAAAAATACAAAAAATTAGCTGGGCCTGGTGGCAGGCGCCTGTAGTCCCAGCTACTCGGGAGGCTGAAGCAGGAGAATGGCGTGAACCCTGGAGGCGGAGGTTGCAGTGAGCCAAGATTGCACCACTGCACTCAGCCTGGGTGACAGAGCGAGACTCCATCTCAAAAAAAAAAAAAAAAAAAAAAGATAAACACTTTTATTTTTCAAGTTTACTTTAACAGCTATCTTTAAAGAAAACTTGAAGGTACTGCAGGGAGTTTCCCTGGAGGCCACACAGTTTCCCCTGTGAGTATCCTCTTGCATCAGTATGATGCTGTTTGTTACAATTAGTAATTGGATATTCATAGATATTTTAAACTGAGGTCCGTACTTTATTCACATTTTATTGGCTTTTTAAATCCCATTTCCTGTTTCTGTTCCACGATCCCATCCAGGAGTCCATGTAGCATTTAGTCCTTGTGTCTTTTTAGGCTCCTCTTCATTGTAACAGTTTTTCAGCCTTTCCTTGTTTCTGATGATCTCGACAGTTTTGAGTAGGGCACTGGTCAGATATTTTGTAACATGTCTCTTCATTGGGATTTGTTGGATGTTTTTATCCAAGTTAGAATGGAGTAATGTGTTTTGGGGTAGACAGACAGCAGAGTATTATATGTTATCATATCATATCCAGGGTGCATAATATCAATATGACTTACTGTTGCTGTGGGCCTTAATCAAATGGCTTAAAATGGTATTCGTCAGGTCCCTCGACTGCAAAGTTACTCTTTTTCCCCTATTTATATACTGTACTCTTTGGAAGGAAGTCACTATGCACAGCCCAGGAAGTCACTATGCACAGCCCAAATTAGGGAGTGGAAAGTAGTGTTTCACCTCCATGAAGGCAAAGTGTCTACATAAATTGAAATTCTTCTTCATGGAGAGTTTGCCTCCTTCACCCCATTTATTTATTTAATCATTTATTTATGTTAGTGTGGACTCAGCAGTATTTATTTTATATTTTGGAGTGTAATCCAGTATTACCTTATTTTGTTGTTCAAATTGTTTACTGTTTTTTACCACTAGGTACTTGTTAAATTTGCTGCAGTATCCCTCTGGCTTAACAGCACTGGTGTTATTTTATTTTTTTCACTCATTTTCCTTCTTTCTGGCTCTACAGTATGTTCCAGGTTCATCTGGTATATTTCCTGCCCAACACCTAGAATCAGCCCTTTCTCCAGAAATCCTGGTTCCTTGTATTGGTGAATGATTAGAAAGCAAGGTTTGGGTGCTAGGTGGGTTCATTGCCATTGGGGCGTCATCATTTCTAGGCCCTTTCTGACAGAGCAAAGAGTTATATGTGTATATAGTAGTTCATATATACAGAAATATCTGTAAGTATTTCTGTATGTAACCGTATGTATCCTTATTAAGCTAAACGTGAATTCATGCTTAAGTCTCCAACTCTCACTCTAAAGTGAGAAAACTGATTTCTACACATGGCATCCATTTACTTAACTGTTCGATTGCAATATACATGTACAGTAGTTTCAGAATTGGTAACTTACAACTCTGTGAGGAGCAACTTCATCAACTAGAGTGCAATGCTGATACACAGTTCCTTGCAGAATACACCCAGTTTCAAAGTTACTTAGACCAGCACCTTTTTCTCCCAGTCATGTCAGTAAGGTCGTTTTATACTTTTGTAATGCATTTGAATCCTTTTGTTACATTTTGTATTCCATTCTGGATCACCGAATCTCCTAAGTATTTGTTTTGTATTTTGCATTCATTTTGGGTTACTCTTTGTATTATAAAGTTCTATGAGTTTTGACAATGCTTAATGTCTTGTATTCACCATTACAATATGATACAGAATTCTCTGCCCTAGAAGTACTCTGTGCTCCATTTGTCTACTCCTAACCCCCACCACTGGCAACCACTGATAAATTTACAGTCTCTAAAGTTTTGCCTTTTGTAGAATGTCTTTTTATTGGAATGATACAATATGTAGCCTTTTCGGCCTGGCTTCTTTCACTTAGCACTGTGTATTTAAGAATCACCTATATCTTTCATGGCTTGATAGCTCATTTCATTTTATACTTGAATAATATTCCATTGTGTGGATGTGCCATGGTTTGTTTTTCCATTCACCTGTTATAAGACATCCTGATTGCATCCAGTTTTTGTGATTATGCATTAGGCTGCTATAAACATGTGCAGGTTTTCTGTAGATATGTGTTTTTGAATCATTGGGTAAATATCTAGGAATATAGTTGTTGTATCGTATGGTAACACTAGGTTTAGTTTTGTAAGAAACCGCCAAATCGTCTTCCAAAGTGGTGGTACCATTTTGCATTCTTACCAGCAATGAACGAGCCTTCCTGTTGCTCCCCATCCTCCCAGCAATTGGTAATGTGAACTTTTCAGATTTTAGCCTATCCGATAGGTATATGGTGGTATTGCATTGTTATAATTTACATGTCCATGATAACATGATGTGAAGCATCTTTTAATATGTTTATTTGTTATCTGTACATCTTCTTTGGTGAGTTGCCTGTTCATATCATTTGGCCATTTTTTAGTTAGGTTGTTTGTTAATGTATTGCTGGTTTCTTTCCTATATTTTGAATATAAGTTCTTTATCAGAGATGTATTTTGTAAAATTGTATCCCAGTCTGTAGTTTTTCTTTTCATTCTTGTAACAGTATCTTCCATAGAGCAGTTTTTAATTTTAATAAAGTCCAACTTACTAATTTTTTCTTTGCATGGATCATCATGCCTTTGCTGTTGTATGAAAAACCATAATCACCAAACCCAAAGTCACGTATATTTAATCCTGTCTTTTCTTCTAGTATTAGAATTTTATATTTTACATCTAGGCTTATGATCCATTTTGATTTAATTTCTGTGATAAGAATAAGATCTATGTTGAATTTTTTAGACATTTATTTTACTTGGTGTCTACTGAGCTTCTTGGATCTATGATTTGTGTCTGTCAATGGTGTTGGGAAGTTCTCAGCCATTATTCTTTCAACTATTCTTTCTGCTCTGCTCTCGCTTTTGGTGATTCAACTATATATGTGTTATACCTTTCAAAATTGTTCCACAATTTTTGGATAATCTGTTTTTTTTTTCTTTTTGCAATTCAGTTTTGGAAGTTTCTGTTGACACATTATCCAGCTCACTGATTCCTTGCTTGGCTGTGTCCAGGCTCCTCATGAAGCCATCAAACGCTTTCTTTCTTTTTTCTTTTGAAACTTTACAAGGCTTAAATTTCATTTAACTTACATTTTTGACACAACATGTTCAAATTGCATACAGGCATTCTTTATTTCTGTTACACTGGTTTTGATTTCTAGTATTTCCTTGCAATTCTTTCTGAGAGTTTCTTTCTGCTGATGTTACCCAACTGCTTTTGCATGTTGTTTATTTTTCCTTTAGCACCTTTAGCATATTTATCACATTATTTTAAATTTCTTATGTGATAATTTCAACATTTGTATCATATCTAAGTCCTGTTCTGATGTTTGCTTTGTCTCTGCAGACTGTTTTTTCTTGTCTTTTAATTGCCTTGTAATTTTTCTGTAATAAAGCAGAAATGGTCATGACATTATGAATTTAGATAAGTAGCTTTTTAGTGTGCGAATTCATGTGACAGGTAGTAGTTGGGCTTTATTTGATGTTTGCTATAGCTTTAACTGCCAGAGCCTTCAGGTTCTTCTAGTGTTCCTGTTTTTGTCTTCCCTCTTGATGTCTGTCTTCCTTAATTAAGTACTCTTTCTCAGAGAATCTACAGCTTTTTGGACTGTAGTTCACAGTAGTTATACTGGACCCCTGTTGGTGGGGTGGTAGGTGGGGATGAGGGGAAGAAGTGTTCTGTAATCCTATGTTACATGGTAGCATTGTAGTAGGCCTGTGTGTCTGGGCTCTGACCTTCACAAGTGTTTCTCTAGTGGTATAGCAGTGGTATAGCTTTTTCCCTTCTTAGGTAAGACAGAAAGGCTACAGGCTGCTGGAGTGGGACCAGTGTAATTTCCCTAGCAGGGATAAGCTCTGAGAAACCCTGGAGAGTAGGCTTTTTTGTGGAGAAGGCTCTGGGTGACCTGTTTCCCAGTGATTACTTCTCCCCTTCTCTTGCTGGAGCCACAAGGAGATCTTCCTTGCACATTTACTATGAGAACCTGGTGGAGTTTCTAGACATAAAACCCATGAAATTGTAGAGACCTCAGCAAGACTGTGGCTGTCTGGGGGCTTCTCACTCTCATTCATTGCTGGTTCACACTCAGCAACCAGAGATTCACTGAAATTACCATTTAAGCATTACCACAAGTTCATAGCTCCAGTGGCTTCTGCTTTGAGTGAGCAGATTTTGGCTGTGCCCTGAATTTCATGTCTCTCCATATTTCAGTGTGGTACTTACCCTGCAGCAGCAGTCCCTCCTGAGTCCAATAAATGTCATTGATTTTTCATTTCATTCATTTTTTTTTTTCTGTTGTTATGAGAGTGATTAATTCTAAGCTATTTACATGCCAGAGCTAAAAAATGATGGAGGTTTGAATTAGTCTTTGATTTATACTTATATTTTTGAGGAACTCATACTTCCTTAATCTGAGGAAAAGTTGGCCAATTCTGGAAATTTCTCAGCCATTATTTCTTTAACCTTTCTTTTATGAAACTATTTTATACACATATTGAATCTTTTCATTGTGTCCTTCAAGTCTTTCAAGCATTCGCATTTTCCATCTCTTTATCTTTCTGAGTTACATTTTAGGTCATTTTGTTGAGTCTGTCTTCAGCTTACTAATTATCATTTCTGTTCTTTCCAATTCATTGTTTAACCCACCCATTGAGCTTTTATTTCAGTTACTAAATTTTTCATTTTGTAAAGCTCTTACTTTTGTTTTCTTCCAAATCTGCGTTTTTACCCCTAGAATATCTTATTCTTTTACTATGTTTTTGATTTCTGTAGTGCATTTAATCACGTTAAACATATTTATTCAGTATTATCCCTCTGATATTTCTCTTGTCTGTATTTTTGGGGGCTTATTCCTCCTGACTTGGTTTTCTCTCTTTCACTCATGGAAAATGTTATACTTTATGTATTTTGTATTTTTGATCAGGAGGGTATAATCATTGTGTTTTCTATGCAACAATTTTTTATTATTATTTTCTTTCTTTTGTCTTTTTTGTGGTTTGCTAATTTGTTTGTTCTCATTGCGTCTGTCTGGGTCCTCAAGTTTTACTGGTCTAGAACAACTTCTAAGCTAATGCCATGACTTGCAAAGTTCCTAGGCTTTGTGAATTGGTTACATTTGAATTCTCCATCAGAAAGAAGGCTGATACATTTTCAGGAAATAGAGTGTACCCTGACCTGGTTCTCCACTTTCAGCCCAGAATGACACAGACTAACTTGCTTCTTTCTTGGCCAATGGTCTCTTCAAATTTCCTGGACCATGCTGGTAGAAGTAGGTGGGGGGTTTGGTTCAGCTCTCCACCTACGAAAGAGAATCTTTTCTATAGTCCCACTTAGGCATTGTTTAGGCTCTCTGTGAATAACACTGGCCACTGGTCTCCATACTCCTGCACTCTGCTATGGTGTCAGCTCACGTACTTACAATGTTCTTTTCAGTTTCCTCTTGGATTTTGTTGTTGTTGTTGTTTTGAAGGATTTCTTGTGCTTTCTTGTGAGCCAAAATCAGCATTTAAAAAGACATTTGTTTGATTTTCTCCAGAATTTCCAGGTGTTTGTAGCAGGATAGTATTAACATTATAGAGTCTCCTGTTTTGCTAGGACCAGAAGCAGGGCCCCCATGTATTATCCCGGCATACTTAACTAGTTTCTCTGTGTTGTAGTCACCATTTCAGCTCTAGCTATGGCTTCTTTGTTTCACTTCCATTTCCAACTTCTGTAATGGATGTAATCTCTTGGTGTGTTTGCTCTGCAGACACTGTGATTATCTTACACCGTGGTTATCTCAGGTCCTGCCTTCATGCCAGTAACTTAATTTTTTAGCTGTGTCTGTTTTGTTCCTTTCTGTTTCTCATCTAACTACGTAATAATTTGTTTTGGTTCTCAGTTTATTTGTTTAGCTCTGCAATGTTCCTTTTATTCTGTTATTTTATTAGCTCATCTTTGAAATCATGCTTAATTTGATCCAAGACTTATATAGTATAATATAAAGAACTCATGAGAAGCATGCCCTTCTTATTTGGGCTTTTTTCCAGGCTACTTTGTATATTAGTTGTGTGTGTATGCCTGGCTGCCTTTCTTCTTTGTGCTTGTTATTTTAAAATTTTTATTTATGTATATATTTAATCATTCATTCATTCATACTCATACTTCCTTCTTGTGGCTGTCATTCCAATTTGTTTTCATCTGGCCCATGCCTCATTCGTATTTTCTGTGATGTAGTAGAGATGCATTATTTTTATGTTATACTTTCCTGATTCGTGGCCTGATTTATTTTTGTCTTTGTTTCTTAAGCCAATTAACCTATATTATTTATAGAAGTATTAGAAATATCAAATAACAAAAACAAAACCAAGAAAAATAAATGACTGCTTCTAAATCCTGCTCCTAACTTCCATTCATTCATCTTATCCCCTTCCCTTTCTATTGGCCTTTGGAACCCACTTTGCACCGGTTCCATACCAAGGGCTCTGTTGGGGTCTCCTTATCTCTAACTCAGTTCCTTAGAGGACCCCAATTGTGATGAGATTTGTTGCAGCTAGCTTTCTGACAATTCATTGAAAAAGCCTGATATTGAAATTACAGAAATTTTGTAACCAAGGCATTTGTGGGAGTCTGGCTGTGTGTATAGGTGTTTGCTTTTAGTCCAGAGAGATACAACTTGTAAACACTCAAGGAAATTCCTGAAAACTGATTCAGTTGGGATGATGGCTTAAACTTAAAGGGAGATTTATCCTTTCTGTTCAAGGGTAGTTCAGATGAAGTTTGATTCCTGCTCCACTCAGTATGCCGGAAACCCAGCATCTCTCTTCCTCTTTCTCCTCTACTCCACAATCTTCCTATCACTACCCATTGTCAGCTCTGCTAATTCAAGATCGATTCCTTCTCTGTTAGGGTCTGCTCTCATGATCCACCTTCCAGGCTTCATTCCCCAAGAGGTAGGTCCTTTGAGGGAGATAGGGGGCCCTTTCTCATAGAAGGAAAGGAAACCTTTCAGTTGCAGTGAAAAGTGCATGCTTGAACTCTTCCTCCCTCCCTGAGAAGGATGGGGCAGCTCTGGGCATGGGAGTCCACCCAGCGAGAACCAAGTGGACATCAGGTTGGGTGGGGCTCACCTCCCCCGGGCAAGCTCTCTTATTCCTGCACACACAGGCAGCTGAACACCTTGGTCTGCCTTGCTCCCTTCAATCTGGCATTGGGCAAATTGGATCTGGATTTCACAGGGGAAACAAAAGTCAGTGGTGTTGCCCGGATCCAGGTCCTAAGCTCAGGAAACCCACCTGCCTCTGTTCACCTGGCATTTATTCTCCCTAAAGGAGCCAGGCTGATCAGCCAGTTTTCCATCTTGTCATCATGGGTCTTTCCTGGGATTATGTCTCAAGGAATCACATGCTGACCTGTTGGGAGGAAAAAAAATATGTATATAAATATACACGTATTACACTGTGGTCTGATTTTTTAAATCCCTTAAGCCTTATACGTTGCATTGTTCTTGAAATCAGTGTTCTCGAACTGTGCAGGATTAACTTTGGTAGTTAAAAATAGAATCAAAGAGTTCAGAATCACTCTGCTGGGGGAGTTCTAGAGGCAGAAGTTTTTCCAAAGACTGCAGTCTCTGCCTCAGTGGCTCTTTGGAGCAACGTCTCCAATCTCAGGATCTTCGGGGTGCTGTGTTTTAAAGCATAATGCATTTCCTCTATTTGTCAGGTTTAACGGTACCGTCAGAAATAAGCATATATCTGTAAACAGTTCGGCTGTGATTAAGGAGCTCCAGAATCCTAGAAATAGTGAAGTTCCTTAGCTTAACCCTTTGCCAAGGTGGCTAGCTGGTGGATGAGGCCAGGATCCAAGGCTTGAAGGAAGTCAGGTTGCACACACTTTTTGAAAAGATTCTCATCTGCACATTGATGCATCGCAGAATAACCATGAACCCACTGGGAATATTAAATGCTGACCTCTAGACACTTAATTCCTAAGCCTTAATTTTCAGTGGGAACCAAACCAACCAGGTTTCAAAGATGAGCCAATAAAATAACAGAATAAAAGGAACATTGCAGAGCTAAATGAATAAACTGAGAATCAAAACAAATTATTACACAGTTAAATTAGAAACAGAAAACCAACCAGTAATTATGTGCCACCCCTAAAAATAGGCAGCCGCAGATAGTGAGGAGATATTGCCAGTTCGGGCCAATTCTCTTAGCCTTTTCAGTACCTTTCTATCAAAGGAACTTTTTTCCGATAATTTAACAGTGGAGAATTTTGCTATATTTTAGGCACTTTTCTTTTTCTTTTTCTTTTTTTTTTTGAGACAGTCTTGCTCTGTCGCCCAGGCTGGAGTGCAGTGGCACGATCTCAGCTCACTGCAAGCTCCGCCTCCCAGGTTCGTGCCATTCTCCTGCCTCAGCCTCCCAAGTAGCTGGGACTGCAGGTGCCTGCCACCGCGCCTGGCTAATTTTTTGTATTTTTATTAGAGACGGGGTTTCACCATGGTCTTGATCTCCTGGCCTCGTGATCTGCCTGCCTCGGCCTCCCAAAGTGCTGGGATTACAGGCGTGAGCCACCGCACCCAGCTCTTAGGCACTTTTCTTCCTGCTACCTATTCAGTCCTTGCAGCATGCTGCAGAGAGAGCAATTGATAGCCATTACCCTTGTTTTTACAAATAAGGGAACTGAGTCTCAGAAAAGTTCAGGGGATGGGACTACCCCTAGCCCACATGGCTAGTGAATAGCAGAGCCCAGAGCCTGTGATATCTATAGTTTTCACATTGTGTCCCCAACAAACAGACCCTGAGCAATCCCAAAATGTGAGCAGAGGTAGAGCCGAGCTCTGTATCCCGAGAGGGCCAGGCCCTGTGGTACGAGGACCAGGATGGTCCTAGAAATGCCAAGCTCCCCATCAGCAGCTCTCAGACATCCAGGCTTCAGGACTCCGTTGCTCTCCTTAAGGTTATTGAAGATCGTCTAAGTTTTGTTTATGTGATTATATCTATCAATATTTAACACATTGGAGATAAAACTAAGAAGCATTTTAAAGTTCAGTAATTCACTTAATATAATAAGGCCATTCCATAAATAGCAAGATGTTAACATAAATAGCATTTTATGGAAAATAACCATATTTTCACCCAAGAAATCAGTGGGAAGGGTGGCGTTGCTTTTTATTGTTGCAAATCTCCTTAATGCCTCATGTAATAGAAGACATCTGGACTCTCTGACCAGCTTCTGCATTCAGTCTGCTGCTGGTCCCTACGTCCTGTAGCCTCCGCAAAGCTCTATGGAAGACTCAAGGGAAAAGGGGGATGAAAGAGGGAAATAACGTCTAACCATTATGAAAAAAAGATTTGACTCACTGGTCCTCTGAAAGCATTTCAGAAACCCAGGGGTTCCAAGCCCATACTTTGAAAACTTCTGTCTTGTACAATTACCAAAGGGAATTATTTTCCGTGATCGTAATCACAGTGTTTGCTGTTACAACAAGGAGGACAGAATCACATCATGGTTCAAAACACAAGTGTTGAAAACTAAACTTTATGAAACTGAAATCCAACCCCCTAACCTCTTAAACAGGTTTCTGTACTTAGCTGTGTGACCTAGGGCCAGGAGCTTGTTTGTTTCATAATTGATATATTTATGCATTCCTCTTCTCCTTTGATTATAAAGGTAATACCTGCTCATAGCAAAGCATTCAAACAGAAAAGAGACATATAAAATTAAATTTGGGGGGTCTCCCATAATCTCCATTATTAAATGAGAAAAATAATAGTATTTATTTTGCTGGATTATTGTCGTGAAGCCAAAATGCGTTGTTTGCGTGTGCATGTGACATTTAGAAATGCAAACTCTGTTTAAGGGTTAGCTTTGTTATTTTCAGGTATCGTCAATACCTGATACCTGATATTTATTGATATCCTCTTGGTAAAGTACTTGTTCATCTTTTGCCCATTTTTCTATTGGATTGCCTGCCCTTTTCTGATTGATTTTTTGGAGTTTATTTCTTATTCTGGATATGAGTCTTTTGTCAGACCTACTATCTTGCTGACTCAGGGAAAACCTCAGTTTGTTATGCTGTAAAACTAAGAAAAAAATATGGTTGGTGTAAAGATTAAATTAGATAAAAGAAGTCACCGTTTATAAACTTTAGACTGCTACACAAATATGAATTTATATTATCCAGCTATTTTCTCTGCAAACAAGAATTTAGAAATGGTGGTGGTTAGGTCTATTGTTATGTTTTTGCTTTTTTTTTTTCCTCAGCATCTACACAAAGGAAAAAGAAATAATGTGATGGGAGCTCTGTAAAATCACATGGAATGATGTTACCCAGTAATTCACGAAAGAATAATTGCTGCAGAAATGCAAGATAGCACATTACGCATTACCACGACAGTTGTACTCTAAACCAGATAGACGATTATTCAGAGAGATTGATTTTAAAAAGCACGATCACTTAAATCAAAGCATGCTCTCAACTGAAGAGCTCAGATGGAAAAAGAATGAAGGGAGTTAGGCGCGTTGACTCGAGGGTGCCTTGCCACACCGGCCTTCTGGGATTCTGTGGCGGGCTGGGGACCCTGCCTCCTCCTGTCTTCATCCCAGAGGGAGAGGGGAGTGTAGATCTTGCAGGAGAGCCGTGTGTGTGAGTAGCCACGTGGTGACAGCCATTGGCACTGAGTGACATCGCACAGATTGCAGCATGCTCCTCCTCTTCCCACCTGCTGTAGCAGACAGGGCAGCTGTTTGCATCCCTGTTTCGGAGGAGAGAACATTGAAATGCACAGAAGCCAATTGCCTGCTGAGTCGGGAGCCCCCAGGGTCTTTTGCCTGTGTGGACTCTGCTCCTCCATGCCCTCCTGCCCAGTTGGGGAGGGCAGGAATAGCCAGGGGGGCAGCTTGAGGATCTGGAATTGCTGAAACCCACTTTCACAGTGCAATGGTCTGAATGTTTTTTTCCCCCACTAAATGCATATGTTGAGATCTGAATCCCCAAGGCGATGGTATTAGGAGGTGATTAGTCCATGACGGTGCAGTCATGATGGATGGTCCCCATATATACAAGGCCCCAGAGACCTCCCGCGCCCCTTCCACCATGCGAGGACACAGTGAAAGGTGGCTGCCTATGATCCGGGAAGCCAGCCCCCACCAGACACCAGGGTTCAACCATAGTGGCAGGTTAATCATGGACTTCCAGCCGCCAGAACTGTGAGAAACAAACTTCTATTTTTTATAAGCTACCCAGTGTATGATATTTTGTTATAAGCGTCCAAATGGAATTAAACATAGAGTCTGTGCTACTTAATTGCAGGCCCCTAGGTTCCTGTGGAATACTGTTCTTCGGGAGACTAAATGTGCATATTTATTCACAGGCCTCTGGGCCAGGGTTGGATGTTTCTGTCCCCTCTCTTGCAGGAACCCCCTTGTTTGACTCGGGTGGCCTCCAACTTGGGAGGGAGTGACTGCTGTAGGCAGCTCTGCCTGCTGATTCATGGTTTCATGCTCAAGTGCTGCATGGCAGGCTGGGGGCTCTGGCAGCAGTGAAGGATATTTGGGTGAAAGAGAAGGAAACTTCCCTCCTGGGGTGAGGAACTGGATTTTGTCCCTAGGTAAATTCTGGGCAGTGGGAGTGGAGCCCCTGCATACCTGCCCTGAATGTCCTTCTGCCGGGGGCCAGAGGGCCATGTGGGAACTATAATTCCATCTGGGGACTTTCCACACTCAGAGGTGTGGCCACCATCCCCAGGTCTCCCAGTTCACCTGCAGCCTGTGTGGCCAAGTACAAATCCCGAGGCAAGGAAGTTGAGTGCAGAGCTGAAGCCCTCCCCCAGGTCCTCTGTGCAGAAAGAAGCCTGTCAGGAAGCAGGGGGCTGAGCTCAGCTTTAGTGCAGCAGGGTCGGGACGTGCTTGCCAAGGATCGAGGAAGGAAAAGGCTGTGGGGAAAGGGGAGGGGACAGATGGACTCTGAACCTGCTTTTGGAGCAGCCTCTGGGGAGGGAGGGCTTTTCTTGCCAGCCGGTCAAGGTCTTATAGGAGAAGACACGGCACCTGCAGACCTATTGCTGCCAGAGTCCCACAGAACCTCTTTGAGAAGGGGGAAAGGGGTAAGTCAAGAGCCATTTTGCAAATGAGGAGACTGAGTCCTGCAGCAACTGCCTCTCATCTGTGGTCACAGGCGTGGGGGCCTGGAGACAGTAATGCCTGGATAGAGCCTTGGAAAGCAGAGCTGGTGGTGGGAACCGAGGGATAAAGGCTCAGGACTGGGTGCACATGGTGGATGTGAGGGGATCCACATACTGTGGTATTGCAGGATCACAGGTGGTTAAAGCAGAGGCTCAGCCCCAGGACGCCACCCCTTGTCACTCTGGGTGAAGTCCATGTCCTTGTCTTCCTCCTTGTAGGGACCCTGTTTTCCCTCCCTCCGTGATCCTTGTTACCATTTGTTGTTATATGTTGTTATAAGTGTATCATTATTGTGTTGTAGAATCCTACCTCATCCCCCCCCACCAACACACACACACACACACACACACACACACACACACACACACACACACACACTTTTTATTCTAGGAGCTCAGGAGCAATATTAATTTCCACTGCACACATCAGGCAAGCATAATGCTGGGGACAGGAGGTGTTCCATAAATGTTGCATGAACGAATGAATGAAAACTCGGCTGGACCATGGCTTGTAGCAATGGCTTGTGCACTTCACTCAAGATTCTTGACTTGATCCTTTGGGCAGTGCAGTTGGAGGAGGGTGATCTGATCATATGGATGGTCAGAAAGTCCAGTGTGAAGATGAGTAGAGGACAGCCTCTGTGTGTGTGCACCTGCATGTGCATAGGGGCAGCAGGCTGCACAGTGGGAATGGGAAGGAGGTGAGGGACCTTGTCACTGCAAACAGAGAGCCAAGAGACTCAGACCGTGTGTGGCCCGGACAGGTGCCAAGAGGAGGGAGATTGTTCTGGGAGCATGGTTCCTCATGCCCTCCTCTCTCCCTCTTGAGTCTTTGTGGGGGGTTCCCCTAACGGGTATCCCTGCATGCTCAGGTGGTGGTGGCTGCTGCTTGTTGATTACAGTTTGAAAAGCTGCACTTGGTCCCAAGTTGCCACACACCACTGAAATTCAGTGTTCTCTAATGGGGTTTCTGTTAGAATGTTGGAAAGAAGAAAGCCTTTTAATTAGATTCGTAGTAATTGAGCTCCCAAACCACAGAAGCCTTTCTCTCAGCAGATGAAGACACAAATGCAATTAAAAGAAGGAAAGGCACCTAAATGGAACCCTTGCTAATTTTAAGTCCATTAAAAACAACAACTCCTTAATAAGTTGAGGCAACAGATACACGTTCTGAAGAGTTTTAACAGTGCTTCCCAATAATATTGGAGCTTGAACTGGAACTGGAGTGCTCCAGCCACTTAAATGGATAGCTCTGTTGGGGATCATTTGCTCAGTGCAGAGTACAGAGACATGTTAGCTCTACAGCTTTTCCCACCAAAAACTCCTGGCACATTTTATTAGGAAAATGGGATATATTTTTTCCTGTAACTGAATAAATGTTCAGCATCTTGTGGACATTGCCTCTGGCCTGGGGTCCCCTGAGACATCATCCCATGTCCCTCCCCAGGCAGCCCTCTCCTCTCTGTGGGATTTGCCCCACCTGGCCCATCTCACCCCAGAGGTGCCCAACATGTGAGCAACTGGGCTGGGGCACTGATGTCCCTGTCAACTGCTTACATGCTGAACGCATTTTCATTTTAATGAGAGGCAGCATTCGTTTTTCATTTGCATCCCTGCTCACTGACATGCCCCAGCAGATGCCACGTTCTTTCTGCCTTTGGGTCTTTTTTTTTTTGAAACTTCCCATCGGTGAACCAGGCCAAGTAGATTCTATTGCGGGAGCTTGAGGTTTCAGCTTCTGGGAACATCTTCACAGGGGCATTAATTAATATTTTCCCTGGAGAGGGTGTCAATTGCTAATTCACAGAGTCCTTTACGTTGGAGTTGATTATTTCATGCTGAATCACAACATTCTCAGTATGACTATTGTACAGAATTCACTCATTTGCCTCCTTTCACTGGGCTTGGTCAGCCGTACTAAAACGCAAGTTGCCTCCCATTTGGAAAGGCCAGTCTTGACGGGTCTCTTCTCTGTACGTCCTGTGCTGGAGCAAAGTCACAGCTGGTACACTAGCCAAGCTCCCTGATTAGTGCATAGGCTTAGCTGGAGGCAGAACTCAGGGAGGTGTTTTGGAAATGTAGGAAAATAAGCTCTGGAGTCAGAAAGATCCAAGTTTGAATGGCTGCTTCTAAAGTCACCTCATCTTTCTCACCTTTAGTTTATCACCTGGGTAGGCTTTACCTTCAGGTGTATTTCAAGAGCCCGATGTGCCTCCTAGAAGTTAGAGGTTGAGAGAAAAGCCCAGATCTGCAGGGACAAGGCAGAGTCATGGCCCTCATGGCACCACTCACACAGGGTGCAGCAGCTCCACACAGGGCCATGGCCCCTTTCCTGGGGGAGGGAGGCATAACATACTTGTATTTGTTTAAAAGCATATATATTTTGGAAACAAACCTGACTTTAAAAACTTGTATTTTCACCTACTTTTATGTTTTTTTTTAAGCATATGAATTATTTAAAAATACAAAGATAAATAGCTAAATCATTAGCAGGCATCATTTCTGGATGGTAAGGTTGCAGAGTTTTAATTTTCTTCTTTATACTTTTCCATCTTTTTTAAGTGCTGTATAATAAATGTGTCTTACTTTGGAATAAATAGAAAAGCTTAACTCTAGGGAAATGCTGCTTGCATATATTGGAAGTGCTTGGTGCATTCTAATTTCCACACACAACAACGCTCTCGACAGTCAGATCCCCATGTGAATAATTGTCTCATTCTTTCTTTTGTAAACCATATTATTTATGCTGCTGCTTTTTTTTTTTTTTTGAAGGATGAGAAGAACCAAGTTTTAACCACCAACATTTGGCTGCAAATGGTAAGTTAAGAGAATGACAATCTCTCCCATGGGCTGCAAGATCTTGCACCCAAGATTCTTGTTCTGATACCTGAGATGCTTGCTTCTGAGAGGTCCTGTTTAGGAAAAAAAAACAAAAAAACAAAAGGCCATGGCTGTCACACCAACTCCACACCTGCCAACAATGAATGCTGGCTGTATGACACTACAGTCTGCAGTGCTCAACACATGCACAAGATCAACACATAGGACAAGGTAATGTGGGGACACTTCAGAAGCACTTCAGGCAAGACAAGAAGATACAGGGCTGTGTGTAGATGTCCACAACCTGCACCACAGCCAGTCCCCAGGACTCAGAAGCTCCATCCCTGCCCTCTGTGGCCTCCGGAGCTGCATGTTTGAATCAGGTGGAGTGTTCCGAAACCAGAGGCCCTCGTACTTTGTGCTCTAGCAATGCTTATAAGAATCTTGAAATGCTACCTATCATTTGTAGATTTTTAACTTGACATCTGCAATACTAATCTAAATTTGATAATTGCAAATGATGCCACTTAACATCCAATTGTAAATATTAACACTGAAAAATGAAACAGTCAGTCTCTATTTTAAATGGAATTCAAAATACCATAATAATTTGGTGCCCATCTCATTCAAACACCATATGAACAAGCCTTTTTTTAAACTGTCAGATATTTAACGTAGTCCCTTTTTTCTCTTTGCACATGCATTTCTATTCTAGTTTCTATACGGAATTTTATCCTAATGTAATATAATTTTATGTTTGAAAGTCTCTTTTTTGTTTGTTTGTTTGTTTGTTCGTTTGTTTGTTTGAGACAGAGCCTTGTTCTGTCATCCAGGCTGGAGTGCAGTGCAGTGGCGCAATCTTGGCTTACTGCAACCTCCGCCTTCCAGGTTCAAGTGATTCTCCTGCCTCAGACTCCCGAACAGCTGGAATTACAGGCAGGCACCACCACACCCGGCTAGTTTTTGTATTTTTTAGTAGAGACAGGGTTTCTTCATGTTGGCCAGGCTGGTCTTGAACTCCTGACTTCAGGTGATCCACCCACCTCGGCCTCCCAAAGTGCTGGGATTACAGGCATGAGCCACCGTGCAGGGCCAAAAGTCTTTTATTAATCGTGCCTTGGTTTTTTCAAATGTAAATATTTACACAAGAATTATTCCTTTACACCGTAAGTATTAAATTTTGTTTCTTTTGGATTGATTTAAGTTTGCTATTGTTATTGGTATTATAATTCATCAAGGTGACATAAATTAAAATTTTTAAGTAATTATAAAACATAAATTTTTATTGGCAATTTATATCTCTGCCCAAGATGAGTTTGTTTTAAATTAGTTCATGTATCCACAGATGACTTTTTATTACTTGAATGGAGAGAATGATAGTTTTCACTTCAATTCTGTTGCTGTTTTTTAACTAGGTGTAGTAACATGAGTAGTTGGACATGAAAGCCACTTTGTTAAAGCAATGTTACTCCATCTTTGAACTTCTTCTAGGTTATATGCCAAAAATAATGTAGTTTTTATCAAATGTATCAGCTGACAGCTTGATTAGTTTCTCCTTCAATTTTGTTGAAAACAAAGAAAAGAATTTAAACCCACCTGACCTTTGAAAGTATTTGCCACCCAATTTGTAAGGTAATTCACACAGACACAAACGCTGATACTTGAATTGACCATTTGTTTGGTTCTTGAGTCAGTGTCCCAAGATGGGAGTTGAGGTAAGATAAGAGAAATGTGCCCTTCTTTATAAAGTTGAATGGGAGAAGTGAAAATGGAGGCAAAGGATAGTCCCATGTGGTTCTTGGGCAGTTGAGTTATCCTGCGAATACACGTGGAGTTGAGGGATAGAAAATGGATCTGCATCCAGCCTGGCCAACATGGTGCAACCCTGTCTCTACTAAAAATACAAAACTTAGCTGGGTGTGGTGGTGCACACCTGTAATCCCAGCTACTCAGGAGGCTGAGCCAGGAGAATCACTTGAACCTGGGAGGCAGAGGTTGCAGTGAGCTGAGATTGCACCACTGCACTACAGCCTGGGGAACAGAGCAAGACTCAATCTCAAGAAAAAAAAAAAAAAAAGAAAGAAAAAGAAAATGGATGTGCTTAAAGCCATTGCTAGGTCTCCAAGGTGCACCCATAGCTACATGTGAGACTCCTGCAGAACCTAACAGTCAGGTGAGAGCCCTTGAGATATTCCCTTGCAGGATTTAAAGCAGCATACTTCAGTGAGCATATCCCTTGCCACCTACTCTAGCTTCCCTCCTTTTGCCCAGGACACATGATCTGTGCTCTCCTGGAAGGCCCAGGCCTTCTTCCCATGGACAGACTCATCTCCTGGCCCCTGCTGAGAGCCTGGCATTAATGATTGTCCTCGCTGCCAGTAGCATCAAAATAGTGTCCGTGGGTCATTCTCACTCTTGTCTCTCCCACAGACTTTTCATTTGGATAAATGTTAAAGCCATGGATCCATTGGCTCAAACCAAAAACCTTGAAGTCACCCTTAACTCTTGTCTCGCACACCTCACCTCTGATACATCAACAAATCCTGGCAGCTTGACCTGCAAAACCGATCCAGGATCTAACTACTGGGCATCAACCATGATGCTTTCACCCTGGTCTACATGGGTGTCATCTCTCACCTCCATTATTAGGAGTCCCCATCCAGCCTTCCTGCTTCAGTGTTGCCTCTTCTGGTGGTGTCTTGTCCTCAACATAGCAGCCAGCATATACCTTCTTGGCACAGATCCCTCCAGGGGCTCCTGTCTCCCTGGACAGCATAGGAACTGAAGTCCTCGAAGTGGCCTTGGATTCAATTCCCTTCTTGCCTGGCTCCTTTTTCCTCTCCCCTCCCCTCTGTTCTTTGTTTCCTGGCTGCACTCACTGTCCACTTGTTGGGTGACACACACGTCACCCGAGCCCGTGCCCCCCCCTCAGGGCCTTTGCACTGGCTGCTCTCCCTGCCAGGAAGACTCGTCCCTAAGAACCACTTGATTTCCCCCTTACTTCTCACTGATCTCTTCCTAAAGGTCAACTCTTCATTGAGTCTTCTTTGAGCTCCGATGTACTGTCCCAAACCCTCCCCTCCACCTCCAGCCCACTCTGTTCTCTTTATCCTGTTTCATTTTTCTCCCAAAGGCTTCTCACCATGTAACCCGCTTTGTGTTCACTCGTCTATCTGTTCATTGGTTCTGAGTCTTCATCACCCTTAGAATGTGTGCACAGTGTGGGGGACAGGGCTCCAGGTGCATTCGGTCACTGCCGTACCCACAGCCCCTAGTTCACTGTCTCACCTGTAGCGGGCACCAAAGAACTTTTGCCGAATGAGAGAATGAAGCAAAAACTCAAGGTGAACCTTGAGGTGCTTGGGTAGCGTGACACAACATAAAGCCATCTCCTGAATGGCCGTGCAGCACTTTCGTACTGTGTGTATAAGGCCAGGCTCCGGAGAATGAGGCAAGTGCTTCCCTTTTTAATTAAAGTTGGACGTTTGCCATGCCCTCTAAGGAACAACGCTGCTGTTGACATTTTTCTTACAGAGAGAAATGCATGTTATGGAGAGGTCTCTCTCCCTGGTGCCTATCTTCCTTAGCCCTCAGTAAGTGACTGGTCTTCAGCAATGTATATGATTTGGCAATTTTATTTAAAGGATGGTGGTTTCCAAGAAAAATGTAACTGGATTATTACTTCCAGTATGGAATTCAGATGCTCCACAAATAAACATCCTTGCTTCAGAGGGTGTCACCAGAGACCTCTAAATTTATTTCAAGCACAGCTAATTTTAATTAAGGCTTACATTTGCAGAAGCATCTGCAGCTTCATTTGTTTGAAAACTCACCTTTTAACTCACCTCCTCTTGGAGCAACCTACTCTGTGGAAGGTATTAAACTGGGCCAGGTGAGGGGACCCAGAAATACATAACCCAGTTTCTACCTTTAAGCCATTTATGATCAGGCTGTGTAATTAACACGTTTAGAAGAAGGAGGCGGAGGAGAAGAAGAAGGAAAAGAGGAGGAGAAGGAGGAGGAGGAAAAAAGGAGGAAAAATGGAGGAGGAGTTGGAGGAGGTGGAGGAGGAGAAGGAAAAGAGGCGGAGGAGAAGGAGGAAGAGGAGGAGGAAGAGGAGGAGAGGAGGAAAGGAGGAGGAGAGGAGGAAAGGAGGAGGAGGAGGAGGAAAAGAGGAGGAGGAGGAAATTAAAATAGCAAGAACAAGTATCTCCCCAGGGATATTACAGATGACAGCTGGTGGTCAGATAGTAGAGGCCAGACGTGGGAGAAATCTCTGCTTTAAAGAAATGGGAGAGAAGGAGAGGCACAAATTCTCCTAAACGTGAAGATCTGGGAGCACTGGCATTTCTGAGTATTTTGTCATTAATGTTTACTTTTAGGTGCCTACCGATTGAGAAACATGCTGGATTCCCTTAGAAGGTGTGCCCTCATAAAGCTGGGTGATAACATTTATCTGGAAAGCGGCACCTGTAGATGATCTAGCAGTTGTAACACTGTCTCCCAACTGAATTTTTAAGGGCTCACAAGAATCCTGGGTTTAAAACAAACCTTAACAGTCATCTAGCCAGTGCCTGTGTCTCTCTGCTCCCCGCCCCCACCCAGTGTTTCAGTCTGGAAGCCCTGGCATTTCTATTCATGTCCACAGCATGGACATGAGGAACTCAGGAGTCACCAGAGCAAGCTTGGATGCTGCCCAGAGGCCACTTCTAAGCAACCTTCCATTGATTGCTGTTCTTGTGTTCCCTGGCTGGGGACCAGCCTGGCTTGACCCAGCACGATAATGGACATGCACAAGTGAAGCTGGGTACTGAAGGCTCTCAGGGCCAGGGTTCTGAGGGGGGTGCAAATGTGGGCCGGGGGCAGAGAGCCATAAAAACGGCTCTAGCAATGGGTTTTTCTCCTCCCGAGTTTCATGTTGCTGAATTCCTGTCCAGAAAATCTGAATCCACATAATCTTTTCTCTAGGGTATTTAAACTCTGCAAATGATACATTTTCTGTTTATTAAAAATGGAAAAGGCAGAAAGGTAAAAAAAAGAAAAAAACTCTCCTTGACCTCCAGTTTGTTGGTTTTGTTATTCTTTCTCCCAGTTGCCCTTGATTTTGATCATTCAGAAACGTGAGGGAGGAGAAAGAGGCTTCATCTCTCTGTTCACCTCTTCATGTTCCGAGGAGGAAGCAGCTGGTTCCTCTGCAGCCGGTTCCTCTGCAGCCAGTTTTCTCTGCAGATTAGTTTTTATCATTTTGAGAGGGTTGTCAGACATAATCTGATTTAATCTATGAGAAAAAAATGACAGAAGCCATTTCAGTTTCTGAAGAGACATTTGAACCATCCAGAGACTTACATTTGCTTTTAAAACATCTGTCTTCTGTCATTTTGCAATTGTGACCATTCTCCTGGCATTTGATGTCCCAGCCTTCCTGGGTCCTTCTCTAACTTTAACCTCCTAATTCTAATTATGGTACTAATAGCATTCACACCATAGATGATAAGATTTTAAGCTGTTATTTTTTCTAAAATATTTACCTTTTTAATTTCTGCATTCATCATCACTTGATCTCTGACACATGGAAATGCCACGCTTCCTGTTTACAGACAAGCCGGCTAGTGGCTTGCTTAGGGCTGTGACGGCATCTCAAGGTGAAGAGCGATGTGTCAATCATTATGTCTCACCAAGAGAAGAAAGCGTCAGGGTCAGTGGGGTGGAAAGGCTGCTTTCCTCCACTAACAAAATAATGGACGGGAATAATTTTGAAAAGATCAGTGTTTTCTGACATCAAACGTGTGATGACTTTTCTAGCACCAACAACCAATTTTCCACCAGCAACTGGGGGTCCACCAATTCAATTCATTTCTCACATTATCTACCTGGAGTTGCATCAGATCCCACAGGTTAAAGGGCTCAGTCTCACTTCAGATACCAGCTGCAAATGGTGTACCCAGGCTACCCACATGTCTAGCAGGTGACTGAAAATTCGAGGGTTCCCATACCCTTCTCCCCCAGGTTCAATAACTTTCTAAGATGACTGACAGAGCTCAGGAAAATACTTTGCTTACTTAATAAAATTTTAAATAATATACAAACTTATTTAATATATTTATAAATAAAATATATTTATTAAATAAATATTTAATATCTACTTATATAAAATACCCTGGAGAAAAGATTACATGGATTCAGAGTTTCAGAACAGGAATTCAGCAACATGAAACTCGGGAAGAGAAAAACCCATGACTTAGGTTTATTGGCTTATTCTAAAGGATGCAGCTCAGGAACCAAGTGGAAGGACGCAGCGGACAGGGCGTCGTGGCCGCAAGGGTGCGCGGAGCTGTTGTCGTAACTTCTCGCCAGTGGCCACCTTCCCTGCAAGTGGATGTGCTGACCAAGAGTGTTTATAACCCCGTCTCGAGCCCCTTTCTCACCCCTCCCCAGAGCTGTGAGTGCAATGGGCAGAAAGCTCTTTACTCCAGTCACTAGGTGACCAGCCCCCATGAAAGCTATCTAGGTGCCCAACCCTAAGTCACCTCATCAGCGTAAACTCAGGCCTCAGGCATGGTCAGAAGGGGCTCTGTATGAATCACAAAAGACACTCCTCTCACTCAGGAAATTCCCAGGGCTTTGGAAGCTCTGTGCCAGGAAAACCAAATCTATTTTCTTATTACACCATAATGTATTTTTTTAATGAAAGATAACTTTCCTTTTTCCTCCCTCCCTTCCCCTCTCTCATCCCTTTCCCCTCCTCCGCCCTCCCTCAATGCTTCCATGCCACTAGCATCCACACACATTTAGAGTTTCCTGTGGGCTCGAAGCAGCACAAATAGGGCCCAGGTGCCAGAGCCATGGAAGAATTGGGATTCCCCCAGTGCCTTTTAGATCAATGGCCCCTTCCTCCCTTCCCTTCAGTGTCCCCTCACAACTCCACACACTCTTCTTTTGAAGATTTAATGAGAAGGAATCTCACAAAAGGAGGGAGAGAAGGAAGAGCACACACTCCTCTAAATGTGATTGTCTGGGAGTCTAGGTTCATTGACGCTTCTTTTCAGATCCCCACTCTGTGGAAAACGTGTCAGGTGCTGTCTACAAAGATTTTGTCTGATGCCCCCTGTTCCCGAGGGACCTAGGAACCAAGTGCTTTCAGAGAACAACCTTTTTTCTAGAAGTTTGTTGTTTGTAGGGCCTTATTCCATATCCATTCTTGGGAAACCGTCATGGGAGCCTGTGGGGGTTGCTGGTGGGGCCCCCGGGCTCAGGATTGTGGACCTGGGCTCCAGGGCACACAGCATGAGGTTCCCACTGCATGTTGGCACTCAGTCTTCCCCACCCTTGGCTGCAGCTATGTTATGACTGTTACTACAGCTCCCAAGTCCAGCAGGATTTTGTAAAATGGGGAAATCTCTCTCTCTTTTTTTAAGCCACCATTCATCACTTGCCTGCCAGGGCCATATGACTTTAATCTGCTGCTGCACACATTATCTCATCTCATCCTGTGAGGCAGGGTACATGTAAGGAAACTGCAGTTCAGAGACAATGATTTACCTGAACAAGCTCACGCCGCTAGTCTCTGCCAGACCCTTGGTGCAAACCCAGGTCTGTCTGATGCGGATGCTTTTGGCAGCTCCCCCTACCTTTTCTGCCACTACGGTTACCTGAAAAGGGTTCCGATCCAGACCCCAAGAGAGGGTTCTTGGATCTAGTGTGAGAAAGAATTCAGGGCGTGAAAGTAAGTTTATTAGGAAAGTAGAGGAATAAAAGAATGGCTACTCCATAGAGAGAGCAGCCCCGAAGGCTGCTGGTTGCCCATTTTTATGGTTATTTCTTGATAGGCTGAACAAGGGGTGGATTATTCATGCCTCTCTTTTTTAGACCATGTAAGGTAACTTCCTGATGTTGCCTTGGCATTTCTAAACTGTCATGGAGCTGGTGGGAGTGTAGCCATGAGGATGACCAGAGGTCACTCTCGTGGCCATCTTGGTTTTGGTGGGATTCAGCCGGCTTCTTTACTGCAACCTGTTTTATCAGCAAGGTCTTTATGGCCTGTATCTTGTGCCAACTTCCTGTCTCATCCTGTGACTTAGAATGCCTAACCATCTGGGAATGCAGCCCAGTAGGAGGTTTCAGCCCTGCTTTACCCAGCTCCTATTTAAGATGGAGTTTCCCTGGTTTAAATGCCTCTGACACAATGGTCAGCCTGGTTTGGGGCAAGGGAAAACAGCAGATGGGCAGCAGCATCAGGGAGATTGAGCCAGAAGAACCAGCTCTGGTAGAACCCAAAGATCAGTTTGCTTAAAGTCAAATAACACAGGTAAGCCCTGACCCAGTGACTGACTAAAACATCCTAGCTTTCTGAACCCTGGCGTCCTCTTGTAAATGGAAGCAGTCATATCACTGACCCCCCCGAACTATGGTGAGTCTGCTATGGTGAGTCTGGACATACACAGGACACTGGACTAGCATAAAGGCTGTGATCTGGCCGGGGAGGGGATGAGCCCGTGGTTTACGCAGTGGGGTGTGCGGGGTGTGGGGAGGCAGCGTACAGCTCTGGCTGTGCCTTGGACGAGGTCTGGGTTTGACCATCCAAGCACTCCCATTCCCATTCCCAGTTCCTGTCTCCCCTCCCTCTCTGGCCATCATTCAGCAGGCAGAGGAGAAGGAGAGAAGTGCCTTGGCCTACCATGCCCACTTTCCAGGGCAGTTCGTGGAATCTTGGGGCCCTGACCTGTGTGGTAATAATGGTGAACGTGACTGGCTCTGTGATAATTAGTGACCGACACAGAGAAGCATCCCAGGGTGAGATGCAAGACTGTGGCACAGAAAGCACAGGTGTTGGCTGTGGCAGGGCCTTGTGCCCAGGGCAAGGGAGAGAAATGAAGGGAAGCACAGGGCAGAGGTGCCAAGTTGGAGCAAGCTGCAGGAAGCATGGCTTGGTTGGTGCCCAGGCATTCCTGGAAGACAACTAGGACAAGACCCACCATTCCTGGGTGTGCCCCTCCTGTCCCCTCCCCAACCACTTCCATCTCATTAGAGACCCCAGCAGGCAGCTGTCGATCCTGAATGCCCCAGAGGATACTTCTGCACATCACCCATTAACACATCCTCATTCCTGGAGGTCCCTGGCTGCAAAATGATGTCACTCACCTGGATAGTTCCTCTCCTTTGATGTCAGATTAGATCCTTCCAGACTTGGGACCATCTTTCTGGATGCTGCCTGCCCTCCTCAGAGAATGGTTGGTCTGGGACATGCCCTTTGCTTCCCTTGTTGTATCAATAGCTCTAGGCCCACAGCCCCTCATCTGCAATTCCCAAATCTCAGCAGCTCTGAAAATTTTTCCCCCTCCTTTGATGTTGTTTTCGTAACTTTGCGTCAAATTATTTTGGTCTAAAATCAAATTGAAATCTATGTGAATTGAGGCATTTATTTGTCTCACTTAGTGCAAATAGGCATGTTTTGCTGCAGAAATTACCATGTATTTGATTGTGAGGAGCCACCCTGGTCCCAGGTTGGGGTGGTGCATCACATACCTTTCTGGATCTTGGAAAGCCTGAGCTTCAGAGCATGGGTGGTACCAGGGGGACAGAATACAGGATAATGGTGCAATTATAGGAGCTTCTGGGCTCATACTTGTCAGCCCTGAGCCTCCTGTGGGGTGGTACTGGTTATGTGGCAGCTGCAGGTGGGATCCCACCCGAGCATCCTCTGCAGAGCTTGTGGGCTCCAGGAAGGGCTGTTTAGCACCTGATCCTCGGAGGGATGACCCCAGACGTGGGTATTCCTCTGGCAAAAGTCACTCGATAACCTCAATTAAGGCCTGGCCGTGAGCTTGTGTGAGTGCTTCCTGAGTCTTCACCTGCCTCCTTTCGTCCTGACTCTGCGTTTCACCATCAGGGCTCAGGATTTGCATTGTCGGGTGTCGGAAGCACTATCCCTGTGACAAAATAAAAATTCAAATCTGAAAACATTCCTTTAGAAATTCTGAGAGGTTCCCATGCAGCTGCACAGTATTGCTTTATGGAAATAAATATTCCACATTTCTCCAGCCTGGTTCTTAGTCCAGTGGAAATAAGTGAATTCCTTTTTTCGAAGTATTCTTACAGTGAAAACTTCTAAGGCAAAACAGTTATTCATTTGGCTAGAAGTAACCCATCTACTGCAGGAGGAGAAGGCTCGGGGACATGCAGAGGGTTGGAATTAACTTTAATGATACCATCTGAATGTGTTCATGGTGACAGCAGAACCTTAAATGTGAGTTTTATGCTCTTCACAGTCATTTTGGAAAGGATTTTTGAATTCCCATTTTCATTATATTTTATAAATAGCAATTCAGTTATAATAAATGTCTGGAATTCTCTTTGGTTTTGCACTTACCTAATAATCGCTTATGAGAAATATTAGTAGCCAAGGAAGTGAAGTGCTGCTAATGTCATTGTGTGTGTCAGTCTTGGACAGATCACTATTTACAGTGGAATGTGTCAGAATATCCAGGGGTGAAGACTGTTCGTTTCCCAGATGGCCAGATTTGGAAACCAGACATTCTTCTCTATAACAGGTAAGCATATTGAACAAAGGAAAAAAATGATTTTATGCTTGCATACATGTAGCTATCACGTATATTTGAATATTTCACAGAGATGCTGGATATGTTATCTATGATCTGGGGCCACTGCTCCCTACACGGCTTTCCGAGCGGCCAGGCCTTTGAGAAGCAGCTCTGTCCCTGTAAGCCAGCATTCCCTGGTTTGGCATGCACACGTGCACACGCTGGCTAGCCTGCTACTTAAGACGCCCATGAAGTTGTATGTTCTCGGGGCCTAGTGTTGTTTCTGTGCATATTGGCACATGGAGTATTCTTGCATAAGGCAGTACCTTTGTTCTCTGAATGGCAGCAGTTATGACCAACAGCAGGAAGTGCTGGCCTATGGGATGCACTGCTGGAGCCCACAGTTTGGACCCACATCCTCGTCTATGTTCCCTGTTGTGCATTGGAGAGTTCTGTGGCAGAGATGGCTGCAGGTGAGCGTGAGGACTGTCATCTCTAGCTGCATGCAGAAACTTCCCCTGCAGGGTATATACCTGATTTCTAATAGTCTTTCTCCTGAGGTCAGGAAATAAGGGACACGTCGGTAAACCAAGACAGTCTGACTTGCAGACCAGATGCCTAAAAGGCAATTATTCAGGCAGGGTAAGTTTCTAGAAGCAGTAAAATTTCTCGTTAAACTGCATAGTCAAATAAGGGATCCCAGAACATTTCTGACTAATAAGGTGTCAGACCTCATAAATAACATCATGAAAAGAAAGTTATTTCCTAATCATGACCGCTACCTTTGGTCATGAAGAAGGAAGCCCAGGCTTTCCTGATGCAGGGAACAGTGTGACCAAATTGCCCTCCATGGTCACTCGGTGATCCCGCTGGACAAGCAATGTGTTGTCCTACATGGCTACTTCCAGAAGGCTGGGCGATGCTATTTCTTGTATGGACTTTTCATTCTGCCTCTGTCTTTGCATCTGGGGGCCGGCCACATTTCACTTGAATCATTGGGCCCGTTTCTAGAAGAGTATCCTCTTCTCATTTGCTGCCACTTTTCTGCTTCTCAAATTAGTTCAGACAACTGAGCTTTGAAAAACGTCTAAAATAGGAGTAAGTGGTCCCCTGTTGAATGGATCAAACATGTGCCTTTCCATGCCTGGACTTTGGGTCTTCTGTTTCTTGGGGGGCTGTATTAGTTTGCCAAGGCTGCTGTAACAAAGTGCTACAGACTCAGAGCCTTAAACAATAGAAGTTACCCTGTCACAATTGTGGAGGCCAGAAGTCTGAATGAAGGTGTTGTCAGGACTGGCTTCTTCTGAGCCTCTCTCCTTGGCTGGTAGATGGCTGCCATCTCACTGGGTTCACGTGACCTTCGCTTGTCTCTGTCCGTGCCCTAGTCTCCTCTTCCTGTAAGCACTGCAGTCAAATTAGAGTAGGGCCCCATGCTCATGACCCTCTTTTACTTTAATTACCTTTTTAAAGGTTCTGTCTTCAAATAGAGCCACACTCTGAGGCACCAGGTATTAGGATTTCAACATGTGAGTTTGAGGGAGATGCAACTCAGTCCATAATGAGGGCATTGTATCTGACTTTTTGAGGGCAAAGGGTCAGGGTTGAAGAAGTCTCCGTGTTAATTTTAGCTGTAATATTTACAGTCTGTATAACCTTTGAGTCTCAGATTTCTCCTTTGAAAAACGGGGAAAGTGCCGGCTTCACAGAGTTCGGAGGATCGCTCTGTGGATGTGTGTAGCACACTTAGTCTGGCACTTGGAAAAGAGCACACATTCCGTAAAGGCAGTTGTGTGTTTACAGGCAGAATGATGAGGATTCCTGCTTTTAGAACAAGATGGTAATTTAACAATTTAGAAAAAAATAATCAATGTTTTTCATTTTCCAATTCGGATTTTTTAAGTTTGAAATCAAGAATAAATTTTATAACATTCAGCCTGAGCAGTGTACGAGACCCCCATCTCTAACAACAATAACGACAACAACAACAAAATTAGCTGGGCATGGTGACCTGCACCTGTAGTGCCAGCTACTCAGGAGGCTGAGGTAGAAGGATCCCTTGAGCCCAGCAGTGAGCTTTGATTATATCACTGCTTGCCATCCTGGGTGACAGAGTGAGATGCTATCTCCAAATATATATATATATATATATATATGTATATATATATATATACATATATATATATATATATATGTATATATATATATATACATATATATATATATATATGTATATATATATATACATATATATATATATATACACATACATACATACACACACACATATACACACACACATACATACATATACATACACACACACACACAGAGAGAGAGAGAGAGAGCACCCCACCATATTATATGTATAACATGTTGGTGGAATCTTATTAACACGGTTACAAGAGGCAGTTTATATGGCCTATGTGTAGGATCTTTAACTCCAAAATGTAAAATGTTTGATGATTCCAAATGCTCTGGCTAATGAGGAATTTCCAAGTTGTAATTGAATTTCAAGGAGCAAAGATAGAGCAGTCTCTACCTGACAAATGTTACCAGGGTCCAGGCCCTTAGAAATGATCCCCACCTCCACATGCCTGACCCAGCTGCCGGTGCAGAACCCCATCGCTCACACATCTGTTGAGCTCTACTGAAGGATCCTGCTCGTTCCTCTTTCCCATGGTGGACATAGACCACGTCCGCCAGGCTTCATCATGGAGGATGTAGAGGCTGCTTCAATTTCTGCTTTTGTTTTCCTGAGACATGGAATGTAGGACTTTCTTTTTGAAGTAACTACTAAATATATTTTGAAGTAACTGCTAAATATATGGCCCGCAGGTCCACATGAACCCAACGTGGAATGAATAGATTTCAGAGAATATTTAAACCACTCATAGACACTTATCTATTGCTACAGAACAAACTCCTCAGAACTGAGTGACTTAAAGCAAACAACTCAGATTATTCCTCATGATGCCGTGGGCTGTCCAGGCCCATGTGGCTGGTTGTCTCTTTCACGTGGCATTGGGCACAGCCATGGGCTGGGGCTCCACTGGGCCGATGTGCTGAGGGGTACACTTCCACAGCGGGGCAGGTCTGGGCTGAGCTGGTGGGGACGCCGGCCCTGGCAGGAAGCTCAGCCATTCAGCTGGGGACTGTGCACCCACCCCTTCTGGGCCTTTTCCACAAGGCTCGGTGTCCCCCAGCTTGGTGGCCAGCAGTGCTCTGACAGGAAGGAAGGAGAGGCTGCTGGGACTCTTAAGGACTGAGCGTGAGGGTCCCGCAACAGCCCTTCTCCACATTCTGTTGGTCAGAGTAGGCAGGAGCCCAGCTTGGAGTCAAGAAAGGGGAAATCAGCACCCCTATCTAGGGCAAGAGGGAGGCCACAGGGTGCTCTGGGGACACTAGTGATCACAGCTAAGGAAGGAAAGCGGTGGAACTGCAAGGGTCAAAGTAAAGCCCCAGGAAACCGAAAGACCAGAAGAGGCGTGCATTGTGAAGGGGAAGGCACGCTCCGCCATGTGCCTGCTGAAATTGGCAATGTGGGAGGAGAAGCAGGCAGGAGGAGAGAGCTTCTAAACAAGACAGATCTTGTCATCTCTGCCCCCCCTTGCTGGCTGGCTTCCCCTTCCTGCCTGGACACACTGTGCAGCCCCCAGGTATGTGCTGACCAGCCTATCCCTACCCTGTAGCCTCGTCCACTCTCCAGCCCTACTGCTTGTCCTTTGGCTCATTGATGCACCAATGCTTCCAGGCAGAGTGTTTATATGAGCGTCTTGCGGGGCGAGGAATGCCCACCCCTTAACTCCCAGTTAGCAAGGGAAACCTCCCTGACACCCTCACCCCTGCCAAGTCTAGAACACATTTCTCTGTCACGTAGAAAAGGATTCCTGTCCACGATGGCACTTAGGGTCTGCTACCTCTTAGGGGCACCTAGCAGGGCACTTGATACACATTTATGCAAAGACAAGATGGAGAGAGGAAGGGAGGGTGCAGGAATTATTAGGAGGAGGAGCGAAGAAGATGGATCAGTGTAATACAGTGCGGCTAAGAACAGCCAGAGAAGAAAGAAAGCAAAGGAAAGAAATCATGTAGGCAACCTAGAAAACATTCAACTGAGACTGAGTCCAAAAATTCACACAGGAAATAGCAAAAATAGTCTTCACTACTAATATCCTAACCCTCTGATATTCTGTTATTGGGGATTTTGAGAGATACCGAATTTAATGCTTTCTGCCAGCTTCTAGGCGTGGAAAATAATATGTTCTGCTTAGTAGACTCATCTGTTAGTTCATTATGGTCTGAATGGAGTCGAGGGGCTTTTCCTAAAGGAGGGGGTTAAATGCATCCTGTGTAAGCCCCAGTTTTGAAAGCAGTGTTGATGTAGCTCAGCTGAAGCCTCCCAAACATGTCTGTCCTATTTCTCACTCTATTCTCGTTTGATATTGGAGTCCCCACGTGAGTCACTATTGCTTTTTGAGATATAATGCATTTTCCATGCTTTAAAGTGGCTGGGTCACTGCAAAACAGCCATCTCTGCATCATTTGTGGAATGGGCTGCTGTATTTCCTTGATGGGTGGGTAACAAGTCATGCTGCTGCCAGCCAGCTGGCCAGGTCGCTCTGAGGAGAGGATGGGCACGAATAAAAGCGTCTCTGTCTGGTGCTGATCCCAGTCATTTCTTTGTTGCTTTATTTTGCTTTACTTTAAGCCTGCGGCTCAAGGAGTTTTCTGAACACCATCTTGCCTAAAGTGGGTAGCAATTATGGATGGCTTGCCGTGATTTTCCCCTTTGGATGGAATTAAAGGCCTTGCTGGGATCAGCAGTCCGCTTGCAGAAGGACAGTCTGAATCCCGCAACTCTGCGGATGCCCCTACACCGTGCAGAGACAGGCAACTGCCTCACCCTCTCTGGGCTTCTCTGTTTCTGAGTTGCTCGGTCAGAAAATTCTATTGCAATAATGGAAATCTTTTTTGATGAAGATATTTAAAGATGTTTTTGTTGGCTCTGAAAGTTTAGAACAGCATGGGGTTTCAGCCATCCATTTTCATTGAGTGTGCAAAGCTGCATTTGTCATCTGCAGGGTTGTGTCTTTCACTCATTTTCCTGACCCTGTGGCTGATAGCAGAGGCTGGAGAGGGGACCTCTATGCAGGACACACTTGAGAGCAGTGTGGCCAAGCCTGTAAGCACTCATAATTGTGCTCATCATTGTTGCCAAGCGTCTTAGGGAACCTGGGGGAGCCAACCCAGGACAAGGATTCCTGAGCATGTAGCTTATTTGGGAAGGGATCCTGGGAAGCAGGATGAGGGGAGGGGGAGTGAGATAGGGAGGGCAGGCAAGCCGTTGGAGTGAGCATTGAAAAGCAAATCATACTGCGGGCAAACAGAGCCCATTCCTACTGGGGAGCTCTGGGAGACTGTGTATAGCACATCTCAGCCTTGTTCTGAGGAAACTGGGATGCTTATCTGCCAGCTGCCTTCCATCATAGGCTGAGAGCTGCTTCCAGGGGTGTCAGCTCCCTGGCACCTCTGGCTTGCCTGCCCCATGTGTGGATCAAGTGCAGAGCTGCAGATGCTTGCAGTAGGCAGCTGTCAGGGCCTTGGGCACAGGAGGATGATTGTCGACATGGTCTGCTACAGCGCAGATGAGCCATCCACTCAAGTTCTAGTTGCTTTCACCCTGCTTTGATTGTAGATCCAATCTCAGCTTCTGGTAGGGAGCATAGCAACAATATGGGTGGAAGGGAGAGAGTCCTAGGACTTGAGGGTCCTAGGGGTGAGGGTGTTCTCAGCCAGAGCAGAGGAGGCAGGCAGGTGGCAAATTTCACTGGACTAAAGAAGAGCCCAAGCCTGCATCCCAGCAAGGGGTGCCTATTCTACGTGGGCTGCGATGTATCTATTATGGAGTCATGGCAGTGCACACATGGAATGGCATCTTAGGGAGTGAATCTGTGAGATGTAGTGTTGTCATGGTTAATAGCTCCTGAAATTGTGGTATCCCTCAGCCTAACCGAGATTGGCCTGCTGGTGCTCAAAGGCTCATAATGCAGTCATGGCCAGGCTCTTGGAGGGCCCAAGGGCATCACTGGAAGGTGATGTGGTTGCTATAGTTTGAATATTTGTCCTTTACAAATATTTGAATATCTGTCTTCTCCAGAATTTGTGTTAAAATTTAACCCCTAATATGACAGTATTGAGAGGTGGGACCTTTGAAGGCCAACTGGGTCATGAGGGCTCTGCCCTCATGAATGCTTTAATCTATTCATGGATTAATGGATCAATAGGATATCATGGGAATGGGACTGATAACTTGATAAGAAGAGGAAGAGAGGCCTGAGCCAGCACCTTCAGGCCCCTCCCCATGCGATGCCTGGTACCACCTTGGCACTACAGAGAGTCCCCACCAGCAAGAAGCCCTCACCAGATGCAGCTCCTTGACCTCGGACTCCCAGCATCCATACTGTAAGAAATGAATTCTTTTCTTTATAAATTACCCAGTTTCAGGCATCCTGTTATAAGCAACAGAAAACAAACTAAGACAGTAGTAGTTCCAGGTGAGCAGAGGTAATTTTGCTGCTGGAGATCTCAGAGAAGGAGTTTTGAGGATGTGCTGTTACAGCTTCTGTATTAATCAGATATTCACACCTGAGCTGGAGGGAGGCTGTTTCTAAATCATGTGTTGTGGGAAGAGGGGGAGCAGCAGCTTGTTTTAAAGCAGTGAGTGGAGCCAGCCAACCTATGTTTGCATCTTCAAAGTCATCCTCCGAACTGTCCATCTCACTCTCCCAGGTCTCATCATGGTCGCTCTTGCTGTTTGTTTTTAATTTGTTCATTCACTCAACCAATATTTAGTGAAGGCTCCCTCAGCATAATCACACACTGTTCTGGGAACTAAGGATTCAGCAGTGATCCAGCCAGACCCAAACCCACCAGAGAAACAGAGATGGGGAAGAGAGGAGGGAGGCATGGGCCAGATTGTAGGTGATCCCAGAAAAATGAAGCAGGAAAGGGAATAGTGAGGGCTGAGCCAGAGGTCAGGGAGAGACCAGGAGACAGACTAGAGGGCTGCAAAGGAACAGGCCCTGTGATATCAAGTGGAGAGAGTGTTCCTGACAGAAGGAACAGCCAGTGCAGGGGCCCTGTCAAGAAGGCTTGTGAAAGACTTCGAAATGCAAAAAAAAAAAAAAAATAGTGAGGGAAGAGAAAAAAAGACACCTCGGTTCCTACAGAATACTAGGCATGGTCACAGGCACCTTCCTGGTCATCTGAGTCTGTAGTGGACTGTGCCTGTCATGGTCTTCAAACTAGTTTTCAACTCTAACTTCTAGAAAACTGATGGCAAAACCAATGATTCTAGTCCACGGAGAAGCAAATGTGTTTTGCTGGTGGACCAATTCCCCTGTTGACAGATTCAGATCAGTGTGCCTGGTTGTCTTTGTATGTGTCTGCTTTTAGGATGCTCTGCAGAATTGGTTTTAACATTTTCCTGGTTCCTTCCTTCATTAATGACTTAAGTAGTCTTTGACACACGATCACTTTATATTTGTGCAAGTGTCATGATTTTATCTTTTAAAAAATCCATCAATTGCCCTGAGGCGGGAACATGCTATCCAGGTCTGTCCTAGGAGCAAATTCAGCTGCTGTGGCTGGAGAGAATTGGTGGATGGGGAAGCCAGGGTTCAGAGAGAGGGTCAGAGACATGATGGGAGGAGCTGGGGACCAAGTCGTGGAGGCCTTGGCTTTGACTGTGAGACAGGAGAGGCCCTGATACCTTTGACAGAATTTTTGTTTCAGTTCCTTTTTGCTTTGAACATTTTAAAAAAAAATATTTATTCATATTCTCCTCTTGACTTGTTAGCAATTGATTCCCATCAGGTGATTTTGTCCAGAAGTTATTATCTGTTCTTTTCTGCTTGTACACTCCTCCCAGCCTGTGGCAGTGGGCAGGTTTTGCTTTTGTTGTTTCTTCTGACATCTCAGCAAGAGGAAGGGAGGAAGGGCAAGTGCGTGTGTGTCCTTAATCAGCCTCTGATGGCCCAGCTGTTTGCCTCGGGCTAACTCGGAGCCCACCTGTCTGCACCAGAGTGAGTGGACTGTCGCTGGCTGACTGTTAATGCTGTCTGCCTCATCCGGTGCTTACTGAAGGTCCCATGCACTGCGTTCAGCCTACTTGCCCGCAGCTCCTGGTCTTCAGCACCCTGGAGCCAAGCCCCCTTTACTGGGCACTCGCCCAGTGCCAGCAGATGATAGCCAGGAAATTGTGGCTTTATGCCTTCTTTCTGGACTTTATGAAGTCTGTTTGAGTGTCCACAAATCTCAGGGCGGGAAGCTGGTGCTCAGAGAGGTTCAGCCACTTGCCCGAGGTCACTCAGCTGGGTCTGCCTGACTCCATAGTCTGACTCATTACTGGCCAGTCTCTCGACACATCAGGAAAGAGCTCGGTCTCTTGTGCTTTATTTTCTAAAGTTAAAAAGCAGAGAGATCCCCTTTCCCTCCCTCTGAGCTGGCTCCACTTTCGCACCTGCTCTGGGCTGCTCTGCCAGGCTCAGCCTTCCACTTCCTAAAAAGAGTGAGTTTGTTTTCTCTGAAGCTGCTGTGGGGTTTTCTTTTCTTTTCTTTTCTTTTCTTTTTCTGAAGCTGCTGTGGGGTTTACTGTCGCCTCTTGACTGATTTCACTCAGCATCTGACATTTTCTTTTCTTTGACCAAATCCCCTGCCAGCCAGTGTGGGCCACAGGGCAGTGCCACAGCAGAGCGTGGAATGACAGAACCCAACTGCTGTCTGTGCAAGAGTTTGAGCAGAATTTCAAGCAGAGGACAGGTGCTGCGGTGAATAGAATTTTGTGGGGATGGTGTTGCATTGAGGTGGCCTGGGTGAGGCTGTCTTCTGGCATGTGGCAACGGGCCAGTCCACGGAGCAGCTCCCCAACCCCCTGCACCCCCAAGGGCCCTGAAGCTAATCGTGCCCAAGAGCACGGCTTTTGGAGATGAGCTTATTGATCTTTGTGATGTGGAACACAGAGCCAGCACGGTTGTAAGGGCTGTGTGATAAATACATGAGACAGGAACTCAATGGGCGGTTCAGTCTTCATCATGAGCTGCCTGAGGGAGCAGTGCGGGCAGCCAGGTGAGGGCCAGGGTCCGCCGCCACCCCGCCCCTTCCCGAGCCTGCTGTGGGGTCCCTGCGCGTGTCCACTGCCCACTAGAGATGCGCTCTTCAGCTGTCTGCACAGGAGGAGACTTAGGAAGTTGTGTGTGAGGCATCAGAAGGCAGCTGGGCCTCCCCAGCATGCTAAGACCTCAGCAGTGCAGGGTGTGGGGCCCGAGCTGGATGTGCCCCATTGCTTGTATCAAAACCTGGAGAAACAGAGCTTTCCTTGTGGGCCAGGGCCACATGGTCGGTGGAGCTGATGCTGTCAGTCGGCCGGGTGGTATTTTCTGGGGACCTACTCTGTGTAAGACACTGTGCTTCTAGGAAGACGCACATTCACTGCCCTCGAGGCATGTGTAATCAGTAGCAAATCAGTTTACCGTGGGTGGTCTCATCTGACGTATTTTTGTGTCCTTCAGTGAAGTCATCTAAAATTACTCTGCTTCACAATTGAGGAAATGGTTCCTGAAATTAAATGGCTTGTTGACGCAGTTCTGAGGCCTTGACTCCACATCCTCGTGCCTTTCCCAGTCCTTGACAGGCTCTTTGTGGCTGTAAGACAAGGGCACAAAGTGCATCTTGCAGAGCAGAAGATGACGTATGTCAGGGACATAACATCTTAGAAAGATCTGGAAGAGAGAGAGCCTCATCCAGTGGGAGGGTGTGGGCAACTGTTCACGGCAGGGTGGCCATACGTCTTGGTCTGTCTGGGACAGCCCGGGTTTGTGCCTGAGGTCCTGGCACTGCTGTTAATGGTGCCTTTTTTCACTTTTAAGATGGGGCATTTCATGGAAAGATATGTAAGTTAGGTCATATGGCACAGGGCCCTTAGCGGGGAGGGGGAGAGATCACCTTGGAAGGGACTAAATGTGGCAGGATCCTCAATGCATATGCTTGGAATGAAAGGGAGAGGGAAAAGAACAGAATAATCAGGTCAGGGACTAGCTATAATCTAAGGAATTGCCACCAGTCCAACTGGACTTCTCTGGAAATCTGTCCCTGACGCCTGGCCACAGTCGCCTACTCTGGGCTGCTGTGTACCTTGGAGGACTCTTTGTAAACATCACACGATGCTGCGGATGTGAGTTTGATACTCTTGTTTTTCCCCACTGTCCAGTGAGCTCCTTGGGAGCAACCAAGTTCTATTCACATTTTGTAATCCCCCCAAGTTAGTGTGACAAGTAGCACATGGCAAGCAGCACATCGCAGTGGGTGAGGGACTAGTGGGGCCACTACCCTGTTCCAGGAGGGAGTTGCTGGAGGCCAGAACCTGGGCAGAACCTTGGAACTCAGGCTGTCTGGATCAAGAGAGCCATCTTCTAGCACCCTTAGATTAAAAATAAGTAAGTTCTGATTGTGTGGGGCAGGGATGTAGGGTATGGGTCCTATCCCGAGAAGCAAATTAGTCTAGAAATGATTCTCCTTTCTCCTCCACTACCCATACCAATCTATCTTGAAGGATTATGCATTTGAAATTACTCTAGTCATCTTTTCACATTATTTGTGGTCTTTTTTTAATATAAATTTTACATCCTTAGCTAATCACATTTTTGTGTTGTTTCCTTTATGGATCCTTTATGGCTTTGGGGTCCCAGACCAGGAGACTATCCATTTATTCTACTAAATAGTTTGTTTTTTATTGTGTATGGTTTTTTTTCCCTAAAATGTTTGTGTATGCTATGAGGTAAGGGTCTAACTTTACTTTTCTTTAAGGGATAGAAAATAATTCTAACAGCACTTATTGAGCAATACATCTTTCTCCCCATGGCATTGAAGTGGGATGGTTATATTCATTTATGCATGTGCCAATACCATACTGAGAGCTAAGCAGGGTGAATAAAAAGAGACATATGTCTTGAATATCTTGCTGCGATTTTAAAACACTCATGATAAAGGCAAAACCCTTATAAGCTCTCAAAGCAAAAAAAAAAAAAAAATCACAATAGCAAGAAACAGTAGCCTAGTAGAGGACTACTTTCAAATATTGAAGGGCAATTATTTTTAAAATAAAATATTTTGTTGAACTGAACTTTCTGGGCAAAAATGAAAGCAGTTTTAAATATGTAAAGACTCAAGTCTGAAAGAATTACTCAGAATTGTATTCCAGCAAAATGAGAAGAAACCAAGAAAGAGGCAAACCTGGAATATAATCAGCACTCGTGAGTGATGGAATCACTAAAAGGCATAGTTCAGTCTAATTATTTGATGATGTTGTTAAATGGTTTTTGTTGGCAGGGGACTAAGAAGTAGAAGAAGTAACAGCAGACGTTTGGTGTCGGCCTTCTTTGGTTCATGCATGATAAAGATAAACCTCGTTAAATGCACAAAATGAAAAAAAGTACAAGTAAATATGTATGTTAAATATTTGAATAGCTATCAGAGTAACAGAAATAGTGTCATAACTTCCAGACCACTAGAGATAAAATAAGGGACCAAAACCTGAAGTCGATACCTCTAATGCAAGAACAGAAAACTGAGAAACAGTGTAAGTATGAGGTCTCTCATGGATCCCTGGCATGGGTATGAACATTATTTTAAACTGAAGACATTTGAGATTAAACAGATAGGGAAAGAAGCTTTTTCAGAGCTTACTTATCAGACTACAGCAAAAACTTCTGGGAGCGAGCCTGGCATAAATCTCCTTTCTAGGGGAGTCTTTACTGGCTGGAAAGAAGATGGAAAAGACCAGTTGCACCTGCATAAACAAAACTTTCCCACAGACCTTCTTATCTCCCATTTGCTCCCCTAGAAACCGATTTGTTCTTTTCATAGAAGCCCTTCCTCTCCCCTCTCTCTCCGCTGTGCAGTATATAATCTCACCTTTAGCTGTTTGAAGAGTTGCATTTTTCTTTGTGCCCCTGTGCCCATGTAGGCATAAAAGTCAGTTTTCTCTTGCTCATCTGTCTTTTGTCAGTTTAATTCCTAAGCTCCCCCCCGCCAAAAGAATCTATAAGGGTAGAGGAAGAGCATTTCTTCTCTAACATGAGAAAATCTGGCCAAAAAAAAAAAAAAAAAACAGCCTACAAAAAACCAGAAAACAAACCTACTAGCAGAAACGAGTTAAAACAATCACTAATCACAAAAATTCAAATGGATTTAAATCCCATAACAGTTCTCAAACCAAAACAGACTCCTAGATGGGTTTCAAAAAATCAAAATCCAACTATATTGTATATACAGAAGGTAGATTTTAATCAAATAATCCAAAAGGTTGAAATGAAAAGGATCGAAAAACCATGTCTGCCAAATGCCATAAGAAGAAACAGATTTAGCATTGTTCTTATTTCACAAATATAGATGAAAGACAAAATACGTAAAAAGGGACAAAATGAATATTTTATATTGATTAAAGGAAAATTTATTGAGAAAACAAAGTGCTCATGAATAATTATGTTGCAGTGTGACTGCAAAAAATACAGTCAATGCTGATGAAAGTCAAAGGAGAAATTAACAAAAACCAGGATCTCAAGAAAGGGTAAGTATGCTTACATGGAATGAAATAAAACAGTGGTTAAAACTAACCCAGAAGATATATAGAAAGATTTGTATCTAACAAATATTTCCCAAAAGTAGTAATATTCACAAAAAATAAACTAAGACTGGAAGAAAATTCATAAGCAGATAAATATTACTCAGAAGAAAACTGGCAAACAAAGCTGACTGTTGAAAAGTCAGGTGAATCCACCTCAAAGTCAGAGATAAGGCAAAGATGAGAAATGTTAGGACTGAATGATTGTGTCCCCTCGAGAATTAGTATGTTGAAATCCTAACCCCCAAGGTGATGGAATTAGAAGGTGGGGCCTCTAGGAGGGGATTGGGTCATAAAGGTGGAGTTTCATGAATGGGATTAGTGTCCTTATAAGAAGAGACACAAGGGCTTTCTTCCTGTCTCTGCTTATTTGGCCATCTGAGGACACAAGGAGGAGATGTGTATCTGCAAACCAGGACAGTTGCCCTCCCCAGACATCAGATCCGTGGGTGCTTTGATCTTGGACTTACAGGCTCCAGAACTGTGGAAGATAAATGCCAGAACTGACTAAGACAACAGCTATCACTGCTTTCAACTGCCGGGTGGATGCCCTAGCCGGAGCCCTATGACAGCAAGTTAAAGAAAGATATCTAAATATTACGAGAAAGAAAAAACACTATCATTACTTCCAGTTGATTAGTCACCTAAAGGCAGACGCAGCTGACAAACTTTGAACTAATAAAAGATTTAAGAAAGAAGACAATAGCTGAGCTAGGTGTGAGTGAAGAACAGTGAAGTGAAATGGAAAGAACAGACCTCATTTACACTCATGATGATAACCATAAAATACCAAAGAATCAACCTGGTGCCCATGCACCAAACCCTTCTGAGGAAAACGATAAAAATTCACCAAAGCACCTGAAAGAGTAAAAGAGTCAGGAAGCAGCATGTGGGGTCTGCCAGCTCTCCTTCCCCTGCAGCTGGGCCATGTGTTGGAAGCCTGGAGTAGCAGCAGGGTTACTGCCTGGGGTCCCAGAGTCAAGGACTTAGAACTGCTGTGCCCGGGCTGCCTAGTAGACTCTAGAGACGCTCCGCTGCAGTCTTCCTGGGGTCAAGAGGGGACAATCGGAAAGAGCTTTAAAAACTCTCAGGCTGCTCAGGGAGTTCTTAGATAGTGCTTTGGGCTCCATGTGCAGGATCTAGATCCTGCTTGCCTGGTTTGCTCTTCTGATTCGATGTTCCAATATCTGCTCTGGCTAAGAAGCTGCCGAGTGATTGTTAACAATGGAAACTGCATCTTTACCTCCTCAGGGTCTGATACAGCAGGTGTGGAGTACAGCTCAGGAATCGGTCATACATGGTCCCCCTGGATCACTTGTGAAAGACTCTGTCCTGCTGGGCGTGAATGCCAGCTTGCATTCCTTTAATTAGATGGAAACTAGGAGGTATTTGGTGGCTGGAAGTCATGAATTTCAGCCCATACACTTCCTTCAATTACATGCTTGTCTCCCTCCTGCTGTCCAGAGAAAACCAACTGAATGATGAATAGTGCTCTCACCATTGGTAGCTGATAGCAAAAAAAAAAATGATCCAGAACTTCATTTTGACAAATGAATGCTTCTCCCTGATACCTAGTTTGTGCTTCTCATTTTCCCAGGGATGCATTAATGCTAGAGAACTTTAGTGAATCACTACAGAATTACTTATGCATTTTGTAGTTAATAGGCAAAATATGTTGTGCCTGTAACATAGCTCCTTTGATGTTCTTAGTAAGCAGAAGGTAGTATGGATTCTACTTTATTGACTTCCAGATGGTGCCTCTAAAGGTTATGACTATGAGCTAGTTAAATGTTTTGTCCCTACCAGTGGGTTCATGGCTTCATAAAGACCTGTGGTAGGTAGCATCTGAGTTTGTAGTTTGCATTTATTTCTGACTTTTAAGTCTACATTGACACAATCTCTTTATCTTGGCTTTGTTGAACTCTGCCTCATTTATTATGAAAGCTGACTTCAGGTTGAGGGCAAGGCAAAGAAAGAAGCCTTCGTATTTCAAAAGAACAAGATGGGTAGCCACGACACAGTCAAATTGGTTAATTTCTGTTCCTCGTTCCCTAAACTGCTAAATTTCATTTTATATATCTTCCTTCAGTCCATCTACTTAATATATTTTATGTGGTTAGACGGACTGCATTTTTCACTCATCCTGTTTTCCATGGGTTTTTCTCATCATCATTTTAATAGTGACATAATTCATAGAGATGATACTTTCTAGTTCACCATTGTTGGATTTAGTATGTTTCTAACAGATTAATAATTATAGGTCATAAGAAATGGAAAAAAAATTATAGGGAGGTACATTTTCATATTCCTCCTAATATTCCCCAGCAGTAACACCTTAAATAACTCTAGTGTAATATCAAAGCCAAGAAATTAACATTGGTATATTCCACAAAGTTTATTCAGATTTCACCAGTTTTACATTCATGCATTTTTGTGTAGTATATATAATTCTAAGCAAATTCATCACATGTATTGATTCATGTAGCCACCAACAAATTAAGATAAAGAACTGTTCCACGACTGTAAAGATCTCTTGCACTATACCCTTATAGCCACATCCCGCTTGTCCCTAACTACTGGCAAACACTAATCCATCTCTGTCATTGTGGCATTTCAAGAATATTTTATGTGTAGACTAATATAGTTTGTAACCTTTTGAGGGTGGCTGAGTAGTGGTCTGTGGTATGGATGTGCCACAATTTGTGTAACTATTAATCCATTAACAGATATTTGAGATGTTTTCAGTTTTTCGCTATTGCAATCATAGCTTCTATAACATCCATGTCCATGTTTGTTTGTTTTTGAAGATGTTTCCATTCGTCTGGTATAAATTACATAAGCACGCAATTGTTAGGTTGTATAATAAGCAGATGCTTCATTTTATAAGAAACTGCCATACTCTTTTCCAGAGTGGCCGTTCCCACCTAAGTGATCAAGTAATTCCGCATCCTCCCCAGAATTTGGTGTTATCACTATTTTTTTTATTTTAGCCACGCTAGTAGGTGTGTAGTGATAACCCATTGTGTTTTTAATTTACATTCTCCTGGTGGCTAATGCTGTTGAACATCTTACTATGTGGTGGTTCGTCACTTGTATATCCTCTTCATTGAAATATATGTTCATGTCTGTTTGCCCGTTTTCTAGTTAGATTGTGTGGGGTTTTGTTTGTTTTATTTTTACTCTTGAGATTTAAGAGTTCTTTATGCTAGATATGCCTTTTGTCAGATATGTGTTTTGAAAATATAGTTTGTCTTTCTGTAGTTTATCTCTTCATCTTCTTTACAGGGTCTTTCACAGAGTAAACATGTTCTTTTTAAAAATTACAGTGAAGTTTTTTATCAAATTTTACTTTGATGGATTGTGTTTTTGATGTCAAGTCTTGGAACTCATAGCCTAGAGTGCTGAAGATTTCCTCCTATGTTTTGTTCTAAAAGTTTCACATTTTTAAGTCTTACATTTAAGTCTGTTCTTTAAGTTGATGTCAATTTTTGGTATGATATCTGAGATTTACATCAAAGTTTATCCTTTTGCCTGTGGATTTTCAGTTATTCCAGGTCCACTCATTGAGAAGACTATATTCCTCTTCTGAATTGCTTTGAAAAAATCAGTTGGGTATATTTGTGTGGGTCTACTATTGGGTTCTCAATTCTGTTTTATTAATCTAGATATCTCTTCCTCTATTATAGTCTTTTGCTTTCATCGTATAGTAATGCTTAACATTGAGTAGAGTGTTTCTTCCCATTTTATTGTTCCTTTTCAAAATTGTTTTAGCTATTTTAGTTTCTTTGTTTATATAAATTTCAGACTGACTTTGTGTATCCATATGTACAAAACTCTTGCTGGGTTTTTAATGGGAATTGTGTTAAGCCTACAGGTTCTCGCAGGGACAATTATGTTGAATCTTCCAATCCATGATCATGGTATGTCCCTCTTATTTCAATCTTCTATGATTTTTCCATCAGTATTTTGTAGTTTTCAACATGTGAGATTTATGCTTGTTTTGTTAAATTTATATTTGTTTCATTTTTGACCAGTTGTAAATGATACTGCATTTTCAGTAACCACATGTTTACTGTTAGTATAGCAATTATTTTATGTTGATCTTGTATTTCTGACCTTGCTGAACTTACTCATTAGGTTTAGCAGTTTTTTTTTTAATTGTTTTTGTTTTGAGATTCCTTTGGATTTTCCACATAGACCATCATGTCACCTGAAAATAGTAACTTTTTAAATTTCTTTCTGATTTCTAGGCCTCTTACTTCCTTTACTTTCCTGGCTAGGATTTCTAGTATTATGCTGAATTAGAATGTTAAAAGTGAACAACTTTATCTTGTTTCTGATCTTATGGCGAAAGCATCCAGTCTTTCACTATTAAGTATGATGCTAGCTGTAGGTTTTTTGTGGAATTGCTTTTATCAGGATGAGGAAGTTTCCCTCTATTCCAGTTTTCTGAGACTTTTTAATATGGATGAGTGTTGAGTGTTATTACTTGCTTTTTCTGCATCAATTGATATAATCAGGTGATTTTTCTTCCTTGGCATCTTAATATGGTAGATTACATTGATCAGTTTTCAATTATTGAACTAGCTTTACACTCATGGAACAAACTCTACTTGGTCATGTGTGTAATTCCTTATATATACTGCTAAGTTGTATTGCCAATATTTTATTAAGGGTGGTTTATGTATATTTATGAGAGAATGTGGTCTGTAGTTTTTGTTTTGCATTTTATAAATTTTTTCTACTGTCTTTGTCTAGTTTTGGTTATGAGGTTAATAAAAGCCTCTGTGTTTTATCCTTTTTTATTTACTGGGAGACAGTTATAGAATTGATATTAATTCTTCCTTAAATGTTTGTTAAAATTCCCCAGCGAAGCCATTCAGGATGTGGAGATACCTTTTTAAAAAACATTTAAAATTATGAACTCAATGTGTTTAATTGTTTTAGGGATCTTCAGCTTATTTATAGCCTATTGGTTGAGTTGTGGTAGTTTGTACTTTTCAAGGAATTGGTGCATTTCATTTAAGTTGCTAAATGTATGTGTTAATTTCTATGTAAAGAGTTGTTCATAGCTTTCCTCATCATTCTTTTGATGTCTACAATGTCTGTGTAGTGACACATAGAATACATTCGTGGTATTAGTTTGTCAATTTTATTGATATTTTCAAAGAAGATTTTCATTTCATTGATTTTTTTTTCTTTTTTTTCTCTTCTCCGTGTCAGTGATTTTATACTTTTATATTTATTATTTACTTCCTTCTACTTGTGGGGCTTGTCTTCTCTTTTCTAGTTTCTTACCGAGTGAGCATAGATATAGACTTGAATCTTTTTCTCTTTCTTAAAATAAGCAGTACTATAAATTTATTCTTAGCACTACCAGCATGTCATACATATTGATACATTGCATTTTTATTCAGTTCAGTGTATTTTTTTCCATTTCCTTGAGACTTTCTCTTTGACTCATGGATTATTTAGCAATTTGGCATTCAGTTTCCAAGTGTTTGGAGATTTTCTTGTCATCTTAATGCTATTCATGTCTAGTTTGATTCCATTGTGGGCAAATATCACACTTTGTGTGGTTTCACTTCTTTTAAATGTATTGAGGTTTTTCTTAGGCTCAGGATATGGTCTATCTTGGTATATGCTCCATGAGTACTTGTTGGTAGACAGTTTCCTAAATGCCAATTAAGTCCTGTTGTTTGATGGTGTAAGTTCTTTTATATCCTTGCTGATTTTCTGTCTAGTTGCCCTGTCATGAATTATTGAGAGAGGAGTGTTGAAACCTCCAAATATAGTTGTGAACTTGTCTATATCTTTTGAAAATTTCCATCAGTTCTGGGGTCATGTATTTTGAAGCTTTCTTGTTTGAGAAAGGATTTATGATTGCTGCATCTTCTTGGTAGACTGAGCTTTTATCATTATGTAAATTTATATCTATCTTTCATAATTTTCTTTTCTCTAAGATCTGCTTTATCTGATAATAATATAGTTACTCTTGTGTTTTTTGAGTAATGTTTGCAGGGTATGTGTGTCTGTGATATATATATATTATATATATATATTCTTCGTTTTTTCTTTCCTGCCTATGATGTACTTAACTTTTTTTTAGAATTTCTTTTTTAGAATTTTTAGAATCTTTTTTATTTATAGTGTTTTTGAGTATGTCTCTTTGTACACCTATTTCATGGTTGCTCTTGATATTACATTTTATGTATGTAACTTATTACGTTACTGACTACTGATATAAACATCTTACTGGTTCAAGTAAAGTAGATAAATTTTCTCTTCCTTCTTTTATTGTTTTTTTCTCTCTTTCAAGAACTTCCTTGAGCCATACTTCTTGGGTGATTCTGCTGGTCACTATTTCTCTTAGTTTTTTCTTCATCTGAAAATGTCTTGACATTTCTTCATTATTCCTGAAAGATATTTTAACTGGATTTAGAATTTTGAGTGTACAGTAAGTTATTTCAGCATTCGGAAACTGTCATACCACCTCCTGCTGGTCTCCGTGGTTACTGTTGAAAATTCTGCTGTCATTTAAATTTGTTGTTGTTGTTTAGTTTTGTTTTTCCCCCTTACGGATCATTTTTCTCTGGCTGCTTTCAAGATTTTCTCTTTGTGTTTAATTTTTAGATGTTTGATTATGATGATTCTTGGCATTAATTTTTTTGTATTTATCTGGTTTGGGTTTTACTCAGCTTCTTGAATCTGTAGATGTATATCTTTTGCTAAATTTGGAAAATTTTTAATAATTTCTTCAAACATTTTTCATTCTCATTTTCTTTCTCTTCTTTTTCTGAGACTCTCATGACACAAATATCAGATTTTGTTATGGCTTCACACCCCTGCAGGCTGTGTCGATTTTTTTTCTTTTTTTTGGTCTATTTTACCTTTGTTGCTCCGATTGCATAATTTCTATTCTGTCTTCAAGTCAGATTCTTTCCTTTGCTATCTCCACTCTACTATTGAGCCCAGCCTACATGTTGGTAATCCCAGTTACTGTATTTTTCAGTTCTAAATTTTCATTTAGTTTTTCTTTATATCTTCTATTTATTTGTTGAGACTTTCTATTTTTTCACTGGTTTCAAACATGTTCTTAATTGCCTACCAAAGCATTATTATGATTGAGGTTTTAAAATCCAGAGAATTCCAACTTTCTGAATTATCTGTTTTGGCATCTGCTAATTTTCTCTTCTCATTAAAGTTGAGGTTTTTTTCTTGATTTTGGTATTACAAGTGATTTTTAAAATTATATCCTGGACATTTTGGGTATTATTGTTTGAGACTCCAAGTCTTATTTCAGTGTTCCTTTTCACTAGACCTCCTCTGACACTGTGCTAGCAGAGGAGGGAGGACACCACCCCTGCTGTCGTGTGGTTCAGGCCCCCCACTCAGCCTCTGTTGACACCTGGGAGGGATGGGGACCTTGGTACTGCTAGGTGGGAGTGGAAGTCCAGGCTCCCCAAGTGTTCTCCACTGAAACAGCAGGAGGCGGCTGGGTCAAGATGAGGTCACTGCTTGGCCTTCTCTGACATCACCTCTTGCAAGTATGGGGAGGAGTGTCTCCCTTTTGCCTGGGGATGTTTGAATCTAGAGTGCTCCCTGGGCCTTTGCTGATGAGGCTGCTGGTGGAGTCCAGCTTTTTCCTTTGGTGTTTCCCTGGGGCAGCGCTCTTGGCTAGACACGGTCCAGCTGTCAGGCTGCTTCTCTCCTGACCATTTGGCGAGAGAGGGCAAGCTTTCCTCAGGACTTCTTTGGTCTGTACCTGTTGGGGTTTTTTTGGTGCATTCTTCTCCAGAACCCAGTTTGGAATAGGTAAGATAAATAGTAAACCTAGGGATGTCAGCACCATGCCGTTCTGCCTGTCACAAAGGTGTGATCCCTTCTGCCTTCTTCTCTGAACTGTTGACAGCCTTCTTATGTTTATTTATGGATTATGTGAAGACTTCTTAGTCATATTTAGCAAGAGTAATAATGATTACTCAGGTCAGCCTGTCATAACAAAATACCATAGACTGGGAGGCTTTAAATAATAGAAATTTATTTTCACACAATTCTGGGAGCTGAGAAGTTCAAGATCAAGGGTCTGGATTTGGTTCCCTGAAGAGAACTCTCTCTGGTTTATGGCTTCCTTCTCATTGTGTCCTTACATGGCAGAGAGAAAGAGAGAGGGAGTGGGAGAGGGAGAGAGAGGGGCACGTGCTGGCTTCCCTCTTCCTATAAGGCCACCAGTCCTATCAGAATAGGGCCCTACCCCTGTGACCTGATTTAACCCTGGTCAGCTCTTGCTTATCGTTTTTAGCTGTATTACCTCCTTATCGTTTTTCTTGTATTTATGCTGTCATAGCAAGTGGCATTTTTCTGAAAGCATATGCTTAGTTTATTTAGACTTTATATTTATTCAGATTAAGGTTGGTCAATTTCTTCACTCAATCTGAAGGAAAAGCTCTTTAAAAAATCAGCCTGATCATTTTTCAATGAACCTCTGGTGTGGACTTTGGGCATCCGATTGTGTAGGAGGCTCTCAAGGCTGGCTGTTTGCCCAGTCAGCATTGTCACTGGGGGACGAGCTGGCAGGGTGCAATGTTGTTCCCTTCACCTTTGTGTCTCCAAGTGACCCTTTCCTCATAGGGATGAATTTCCACCCATGATGAATAGTCCTTGTGTGCATAGTAATCCCAGTGTCAGAACATCTTCTCCTTCCACTGCTGGGGATAATTAGCTTCCTTTTTCTTTTGTTTCATACATCTGGAGCCAGAAAAGGCATAACAGGTCACATAGTTTAGAAATGGACATACTTTTTAAAAAATTTCATGAGCTCCTTCACGTCCATTTATCTAGGCTACGTAAAACTGTTAGAAGGAATGCCCAGGCTACAAGCTATAAGCAGGCAGGAGGGTGGGGCCCGTGGAGCCCAGCTCTCTCCCACACGAGGCCCTGGGAGTTCAGTCAACCATCCTGGGTCGCAAAAGTCATTACCCAAGAAGGCGGGAGTAAAACTCGTGCTTCTGCCCTCTTGCCCTGTACGAGGTGGGTTGGAACTGAGAAGGCCAGGACCTTCAAAATGCTGCATTCTCCCTGAGAAGTTGGAATTGAAAAAAATAAAATCTACCATCCAGTGCAAGACGATGAAAAAGAAGCATGACTGTTTTAGGCTGTGCTCAGTCAGGGCTCAGAGTCTTCCATGGGAATTCACAACAGATGAGGGAAGGGGTGCCTCCTGGTGCTGGTTTGATATGTCCAGCAGAACCCAGGAAATTCCAGCACCAATTGTAGTGGCATGCAAAGTGGTCTGATCTGTGAGGCTCTGGGCACCTGGCAGAATGGAGTGCAGGGCACCTGGAGAGAAGTCCCCCTCCGGCCAGGTCCACAGGATCTCCATAGACACGGTAGCAACACAGGTTGGGGATTCATTCCAGTATGTCCAGTCAGCAAGGTTCATGTGCCATGAACATGCTCTGCAGATGGTGATTGGGGTTTGAGACATGGGTTTTCTGCAGCCTGACAAATATTCCATGCTCTGATAAGTGTCCAGGTGTGAGGCCAGGTGTGCAGGCAATGCTGTGAGAGGGCAGCCAAGGGCTCTGCCCCTTTCTCTCCTGCGTCCTCCTCCCTCCACATCCATCCTGTCCCACCCCTGTGACTACATGTGGGTTTTTTTGTGTGTTTTTTTTTTTTCTGAGACTGAGTCTGGCTCTGTCTCCCAGGCTAGAGTACAGTGGCGGGATCTCGGCTCACTGCAACCTTCACTTCCCAAGTTCAAACAATTCTTGTGCCTTAACCTCCTGAGTAGCTGGGATTACAGGTGCCCACCACCATTCCCGGCTAATTTTTGTGTTTTTAGTAGAGATGGGGTTTCACCATGTTAGCCAGGCTGGTCTTGAACTCCTGACCTCAGGTGATCCGCCCTCCTCGGCCTCCCAAACTCCTGGGATTCAGGCGTGAGCCACCACACCTGGCCTGCATCTATATTTTTAAGCTCTTGTGCCATTTAGCCTTCATTAATTTTTTTAAGAAAACATTACAGATGAAAACTGTATGAGGAATGAAACACTATAAGAAATAATATGGAAACTCAATTTTTAAAAATCAGCTAAAAATGAACTTCAAATTAAAACACATACAGAAACATCTCACTTTGAGCAAGCATTCACAAACATAGCAAAAGGCAGGTTTGGACTCTTAAACACTTAAGACAATAGAAACTGACAAATGATTTGAAAATAATTACACTCAAGTAAGAATTAAAAACACAAATGAGAGAAACCCTTTAAAAAGCAACTTTGAAAAGAATCAAGTAAAATTAAGAGAGATGAGAAATAATATAGCCATCAAAATTAAAGACAGTGGAGGCATAGAATGTCAGATGAGACACAGTTGAAGGAGCAGAGGCAGTTTCCTGCGTGAATCATAGAAAGCTAAATAGATGGAAAGTAGGAAAGAATGATTTACGGTCGTGCAATAATATCCAACACTTCTGTAGTGCTTCTGTGCACCAGGTCCTGTTTCAAATGCTTTACATATATTAACAACCTTCTGAGGAAAGCGCTGTGATTATTTTCAGATATGACAGCTGGAGCACACTGTGGCCAAGGTCATGCAGAAAGCAGGTCTGGAAGCCTGCACCCCCCAGGAGAGGCTGTGCCTGACAAGGAGGGCTGCTTCCTCTCATGCCGGGGATAGGTGCTCCCATACACACTGGCTAGAATAGTAGAAGGCAATAATAAATTGCATGTGGGAGAAATATTAAAAGATTATTTTCAGAAAACAGGTAAAGTTATGGCTCACATACAGATATAAAAATGAGCATGTTGAAGAATCTATTTGACTCATATCACATGAGGAAACAAAGCAGATGTTCTCAGTTCAATGGGAAAGTCAAACTAGTACAAATTTATATAGAGTAAAGGAATTTCGAGATGAATTCTAAATGGACACAGAACTTGTTTATCTAAAGGGGCAGGAAGTCAAGGCACTACCAATTAAATCACTACTGGGCGACTGAGAACTTCCGCATCTATCAGCTGCTTACGGTCCGCGCACAGTGGCAAAGCAGCTCAGACAGTGAACAGGGCGAGACTTGCTAAGTGAGATCTATGTGCTGTAGGGGACACATCGTTTTCCATTGAAATACAATGATTTTTTTCAACAGAAGCCATGTCCCAAAAGAACAGCTGAGGATGTAATAATATTGATGAAAAACATACATCCTCAGCTTCAGGAGATAAAAGTCTGAGGAAAGATATGTGATAGGAAATGAGCCCAAGACATATTGTGCAAAAAAGCTGCAGGAATGTCCAAAGCCAAAAAAAGATCCTAGAAGCGATGAGAGAAAAATAGATAGCTTGCTAACAAAGAGATGGCAATTAGACTGACTGCAGACCTTTTAAAGGCAACAGTAGAAGCCAGAAAAATAAACGAAAATAACGTCTTTTAAGTATGAAAGGAAATAATTGTCAACCTAGAGTTTTATCCTGAGCTAAACCATTCTTTACCTGATGGGCAAAATCAAGACATTCTCGGGAAAACATATACTAAAGGAGTTTACCGTGCAGGGGCTGTGCTACTATTTTAAAAAACTACCAGAAGACGTTTAGGAACTAGGCATGAGAAGCAGTGAGCGAAGCAATTGGCAAAGATTCAGGTACATGTAAACAGATTTGGTTATATAAAATAATAATGATGAATTTGAGAGTATTAAAAACAAAGTGGGACAGGGCGCAGGGGCTCATGCCTGTAGTCCCAGCACTTTGGGAGGCCAAGGCAAGTAGATCACCTGAGGTCAGGAGTTCGAGACCAGCCTGGCCAACATGGTGAAACCCCATCTCTACTAAAAATACAAAAATTAGCCGGGCGTGGTGGCGTGTGCCTGTAGTCCCAGCTACTTGGGAGGGTGAGGCAGGAGGATCGCTTGAACCCAGGAGGCAGAGGTTGCAGTGAGCTGAGATAGCACCACTGCACTCCAACCTGGAACCTGAGTGACAGAGCAAGACTCCATCTCAAAAAAAAAAAAAAAAGATGGAATTAAAATACTGGAAAATATAGCATGAAATAGTAACTTGGACAGTGCTTGGAGGTAAAACCCTCAGGTGTACTTATATGACTCTGGAAGGCCATGGAGACGTCAGCTTTAAGTGAAATATACAAGGTTAAAGTGTGAGAATAACCACCAGACCAGACACATTAAGAATACTATATTTAACTTCCAAACAAGTAGGGGTCGAATGGGGAAGGGATGAAGAAAACAGGAGAAGGCCGGCGCGGTGGCTCACGCCTGTAATCCCGGCACTGTGGGAGGCCGAGGCGGGCGGATCACGAGGTCAGGAGATCGAGACCATCCCGGCTAACACGGTGAAACCCCGTCTCTACTAAAAAACACAAAAAAATTAGCCGGGCGTGGTGGCTGGCGCCTGTAGTCCCAGCTACTTGGGAGGCTGAGGCAGGAGAATGGCGTGAACCCGGGAGGCGGAGCTTGCAGTGAGCCGAGATCCCGCCACTGCACTCCAGCCTGGGCGACAGAGCGAGACTCCGTCTCAAAAAAAAAAAAAAAAAAAAAAAAAAAAAGAAAACAGGAGAAACCTAAATGCAATCCAAGGAGGAAGAAGTCAAAAGCATAACATTAGATGGTAGAAATGAAAACAAATATTACAGTAGACAAGATAAAAGTAAATGGGATGGCCAGCTGGTTAAAACACAGATCTCCCCAGTATATCTCTATGCATTTAAATCGAACGATAGACTGTTTAGATGAAACTAAACCATATATACGTAAAGGATGAACGCAAAAAAGGAAAAACAAAAACAGGAACAAAAATAAAATGTGAGTGGCTATGTTTACAACACCACCCCCCCCACACAAACACAGTAAGAAAAACAAGTATAATTAAGGTTAAATAAGGTCAGGTGATAGTGATTTTTTAAAACTAAGGATATATAACAAATCTTACATGTATATATCTAATAAAATTGCTTTGAAGAAAAATTGGTAGAATTTAAAGTTTACTGGATAAGTCCACAATTACAGTAGAAGATTTTAATGTACCTCTTTTAGTAATTGATAGTGTAACAAGGGGAAAAAAAATGTAAGTATGTAGGAGTTTTGAACAACACAGTTAACAAGTCTTACCCAATATATAGATATAGATACAGATATAGAAAAAATGCATCCTCATTCCACTAGAAAATAAATATATGGAAAACTGGATATCTAAATGTGAATAAAAACATTTAGCATGTGTGGTGTGAGTTTGTGTGTGTACGTGTGTGTGCACACATGCACTCACATATGTATAGGAATGCAGGCAGACATACATAGCCTTTAAATGCTTATGTTAGAAAAGATACTTGTCTAAGCATCTTTACCATATGATCCAACAATTGTCCTCCTCAGTATTTACCCAAAGGAGCTGAAAACCTGTGTTCACACAGAAACCTACACACATATGTTGATAGCAGCATAGACATCTTTTTTAGGAAACCCTAAAGGCTTTTAATATCTTTTTTGGGAAAATGTGTGAGATAATTACCAAACTCAAGAAGTTATAAAATATAACATTAACTCCAATGAAAAAAAGAAGGAGGAATAAAGATAAACCTAGAAATGTATTAAATAAGAAAACTAAAATAGAGATCAACGAAGGACAAATTGGTTTTAAAAAAGAACTAATAAAATCAACATACCTCAGGAAATAATTACCAAGAAAACAAAGAAGGCACAAACAAACATTTACTGGATATAAAAGGGGTTTTCAACTACAGAAAAATACTTAAAAATAGAATATTGTGACACAATTTTATGCCAAAATTTTGGAAACTTAGATAGATTTAATATTTTCTAGAAAAATAGACCAAAAAGGGAATAGACTAGCAAAAAAACAGACTTTGTTTTTTAAAGCAGTTTGAGGTTCATAGCATAACTGTGTGGAAGGTACAAGTTCCCATGTCCCCTCCCAACCCCCACCCAAGCACAGCCTCCCCCATCATCAACATCCCCCACCAGGGCCGTACAATTGAAATAGATGAACTGATGCAGACACATCATTACCACCCAGAGTCCATAGTTTACATCAGGGTTCTCTCTTGGTGGCGTATGGGTTCTGTGGGTTTGCACAGATGTATAATGACCTGTATCGACCATTATAGTATCATTCAGAATAGCTTCACTGCCCTAAAAATCCTCGGTGCTCCACCTATTCATCCCGCCCTCTCTCTGCAATCCATGGCAGCCATTGACCTGTTATGTTTTGTTTTGTTTTGTTTTGTTTTGTTTTGTTTTGTTTTGTTTTGTTTGAGATGGTGTATCGCTCTGTCGCCCAGGCTGGAGTGCAGTGGTGCGATCTCGGCTCACTGCAACCTCCACGTCCCGGGTTCAAGCGATTCTCCCACCTCAGCCTCCTGAGTGGCTGGGACTACAGGTGCACGCCACCACGCCTGGCTAATTTTTGTATTTTTAGTAGAGACAGGGTTTCGTCATGTTGGCCAAGCTGGTCTCAAACTCCTGACCTCGGGTGATCCACCTGCCTTAGCCTCCCAAAGTGCTGGGATTACAGGCGTGAGCCACTGCGCCCGGCCTGATCTGTTTTGCTGTCTCCATTGCTTTACTTTTCCTAGAATATCATATAATTGGAATCTTACAGTCTGTAATCTTTTCAGATTGACTTATTTCATTTGGTAATATGCATTTAAGGTTCCTCCATGTTTTTTTCATGGCTTGATAGCCCATTTCTTTTTAGCACTGAATAATAATCCATTGTTTGGATATAGCACAGTTAGTTTATCCATTTCACCTACTGAAGGTTGCTTCCAAGTTTTAGCAATTATGAATAAAGCTGCTATCAACATATGTATGTAGGTTTCTGTGTGAACACACGTTTTCTGCTCCTTTGGATAAATACAAGGGAAGGCAATTGTTGGATCACATGGAAAGAGTATGCTTCGTTTTGTAGGAAACTGCCAAACTGCCTTCCAAAGTGACTGCACCATTTCTCATGCCCACCAGCAGTGTATGAGAGTTCCTGTTGCTCTGCATCCTTGCCAGCATTTGGTGTTGTCAGTGTTCTGGATTTTGGTCATTCTAATAGATGCGTAGTGGTGTCTCAGTTTTTTTTTTTTTTAATTTGTATTAAATATGACAATGTGGAACATATTTCTATGTGCTTCTTTGCCATCTCTATATTGTCTTTGCTCAGGTGTCTGTTAAGGTCTTTGGCCCATTATTTTAATTGGATTGTTTGTTTTCTTATTGCTGAGTTTTAAGAGTTCTTTGTATATTTTGGATTACAGTTCATTATTAGATGTGTCTTTTGCAAATATTTTCTCCCAATCTGGAGGTCATCTTTTCATTCTTTTGATCAGTATATTTTTAAAAAAGAAATTCAAAAAGGTAGGTTTACAGGCAAGTTCCACCCAGCATAAAATATCATTATGAACATAAATGTATAAGCCTTTTTTATTATTATACTTTAAGTTATAGGGTACCTGTGCACAATGTGCAGGTTTGTTACATTAGGTATACATGTGCCATGTTGGCTTGCTGCATCCATTAACTGGTCATTTACATTAGATATTTCTCCTAATGCTATCCCACCCCCAGCCCCCCACCCCCCGAGAGGCCCCGGTGTGTGATGTTCCCTGCCCTGTGTCCATGTGTTCTCATTGTTCAGTTCCCGTCTATGAATGAGAACATGTGGTGTTTGGTTTTCTGTCCTTGTGATAGTTTGCTGAGAATGATGGTTTCCAGCTTCATCCATGTGCCTGCAAAGGACATGAACTCATCCTTTTTTATGGCTGCATAGTACTCATGGTGTATGTGTGCCACATTTTCTTAATCCAATCTGTCATTGATGGACATTTGGGTTGGTTCCAAGTCTTTGCTATTGTTAATAGTGCCGCAATAAATATACGTGTGCATATGTCTTTATAGTAGCATGATGTATAATCCTTTGGGTATATACCCAGTAATGGGATTGCTGGGTCAAATGGTATTTCTAGTTCTAGATCCTTGAGAAATCTTCCACTGTCTTCCACAATGGTTGAACTAGTTTACACTCCCACCAGCAGTGTAAAAGCATTCCTATTTCTCCACATCCTCTCTAGCATCTGTTGTTTCCTGACTTTTTAATGATTGCCATTCTAACTGGTGTGAGAGAGATGGTATCTCATTGTGGTTTGGATTTGCATTTCTCTGATGGCCAGTGATGATGAGCATTTTTTCATGTGTCTGTTGTCTGCATAAATGTCTTCTTTTGAGAAGTGTCTCTTCATATCCTTTGCCCACTTTTTGATGGGGTTGTTTTTTTCTTGTAAATTTGTTTAAGTTATTTGTAGATTCTGGATATTAGCCCTTTGTCAGATGGGTAGATTGCAAAAATTTTCTCCCATTCTCTAGGTTGCCTGTTCACTCTGATGATGGTTTCTTTTGCTGTGCAGAAGCTCTTTAGTTTAATTAAATCCTATTTGTATATTTTGGCTTTTGTTGCCATTGCTTTTGGTGTTTTAGTCATGAAGTCTTTGCCCATGCCTATGTCCTGAATGGTATTGCCTAGGTTTTCTTCTAGGGTTTTTATGGTTTTATGTCTTAGGTTTAAGTCTTTAATCCATCTTGAGTTAATTTTTGTATAAGGTGTAAGGAAGGGATCCAGTTTCAGCTTTATACATATGTCTAGCCAGTTTTCCCAGTACTATTTATTAAACAGGAAATCCTTTCCCCATTTCTTGTTTTTGTCAGGTTTGTCAAAGATCAGATGGTTGTAGATGTGTGGTGTTATTTCTGAGGCCTCTGTTCTCTTCCATTGGTCTATATCTCTGTTTTGGTACCAGTACCATGCTGTTTTGGTTACTGTAGCCTTGTAGTGTAGTTTGAAGTCAGGTAATGTGATGCCTCCAGCTTTGTTGTTTTTGCTTAGGATTGTCTTGGCTATGCGGGCTCTTTTTTGTTTCCATATGAACTTTAAAGTAGTTTTTTCCAATTCTGTGAAGAAAGTCATTGGTAGCTTGATGGGGATGGCATTGAATCTGTAAATTACCTTGAGCAGTATGGCCATTTTCACGATATTGATTCTTCCTATCCATGAGCATGGAATGCTCTTCCATTTGTTTGTGTCCTCTCTGATTTCCTTGAGCAGTGGTTTGTAGTTCTCCTTGAAGAGGTCCTTCACATCCCTTGTAAATTGGATTCCTAGGTATTTTATTCTCTTTGTAGCAATTGTGAATGGGAGTTCATTCATGATTTGGTTCTCTGTTTGTCTGTTATTGGTGTATAGGAATGCTTGTGATTTTTGCACATTGATTTTGTATCCTGAGACTTTGCTGAAGTTGCTTAATCAGCTTGAGATTTTTGGCTGAGACAGTGGGGTTTTCTAAATATACAATCATGTCGTCTGCAAACAGGGACAATTTGACTTCCTCTTTTCCTATTTGAATACCCTTTATTTCTTTCTCTTGCCTGATTGCCTTGGCCAGAACTTCCAACACTATGTTGAATAGGAGTGGTGAAGAGGGCATCCTTGTCTTGTGCCAGTTTTCAAAGGGAATGATTCCAGTTTTGGACTATTCAATATGATATTGGCTGGGGGTTTGCCATAAATAGCTCTTATTATTTTGAGATACGTTCCATCAATACCTAGTTTATTGAGAGTTTTTAGCATGAAGGGCTGTTGAATTTTGTCGAAGGCCTTTTCTGCATCTGTTGAGATAATCATGTGGTTTTTGTCATTGGTTCTGTTTATGTGATGGATTACATGTATTGATTTGCATATATTGAACCAGCCTTGCATCCCAGGGATGAAGCCAACTTGATCATGATGGATAAGCTTTTTGATGTGCTGTTGGATTCTGTTTGCCAGTATTTTATTGAGGATTTTTGCATCAATGCTCATCAGGGATATTGGTCTAAAATTCTCTTTTTTGGTTGTGTCTCTGCCCGGCTTTGGTATCAGGATGATGCTGGCCTAATAAAATGAGTTAGGGAGGATTCCCTCTTTTTCTATTGATTGGAATAGTTTCCGAAGAAATGGTACCGGCTCCTCTGTACCTCTGGCAGAATTCGGCTGTGAATTTGTCTGGTCCTGGACTTTTTTGGGTTGGTAGGCTATTAATTATTGCCTCAATTTCAGAACCTGTTGTTAGTCTATTCAGAGATTCAACTTCTTCCTAGTTTAGTCTTGGGAGGGTGCATGAGTCCAGGAATTTATCCATTTCTTCTAGATTTTCTAGTTTATTTGTATAGAGGTGTTTATAGTATTCTCTGACAGTATTTTGTATTTCTGTGAGATCGGTGGTGATATCCCCTTTATCATTTTTTATTGCGTCTATTTGATTTTTCTCTGTTTTCTTCTTTATTAGTCTTGCTAGCGGTCTGTCTATTTTGTTGATCTTTTCAAAAAACCCGTTCCTGGATTCATTGATTTTTTGAAGGTTTTTTTGTGTCTCTATCTCCTTCAGTTCTGCTCTGATCTTAATTATTTCTTTCCTTCAGCTAGCTTTTGAATTTATTTGCTTTTGCTTCTCTAGTTCTTTTCATTGCGATGTTAGGATGTCAATTTTAGATCTTTCTTGCTTTCTCTTGTGGGCATTTAGTGCTATAAATTTCCCTCTACACACTACTTTGAATGTGTCCCAGAGATTCTGGTACGTTGTGTGTCTTTGTTCTCATTGGTTTCAAAGAATATCTTTATTTCTGCCTTCATTTCGTTATTTACCCAGTAGTCATTCAGGAGCCCGTTGTTCAGTTTCCATGTAGTTGTGCAGTTTTGAGTGAGTTTCTTAATCTTGAGTTCTAATTTGATTGCACTGTGGTCTGAGAGACAGTTTCTTGTGATTTCTGTTCTTTTACATTTGCCGAGGAGTGTTTTACTTCCAATTATTTGGTCAATTTTAGAATAAGTGCAATGTGGTGCTGAGAAGAATGCATATCCTGTTGATTTGGGGTGGAGAGTTCTGTAGATACCTATTAGGTTCACTTGGGGCAGAGCTAAGTTCAAATCCTGGGTATTCTTGTTAACCTTCTGTCTCGTTGATCTAATATTGACAGTGGGCTGTTAAAGTCTCCCATTATTATTTTGTGGGAGTCTAAGTCTCTTTGTAGGTCTCTAAGGACTTGCTTTATGAATCTTGGTGCTCCTGTATTAGGTGCATATATATTTAGGATAGTTAGCTCTTCTTGTTGAATTAATCCCTTTACCATTATATAATGGCCTTCTTTGTCTCTTTTTATCTTTGTTGGTTGAAAGTCTGTTTTATCAGAGACTAGGATTGCAACCCCTGCTTTTTTTTTGCATTCCATTTGCTTGGTAGCTCTTCCTCCATCCCTTCATTTTGAGCCTATGTGTGTCTCTGCATGTGAGATGGGTCTCCTGAATACAGCACACTGATGGGTCTTGACTCTTTATCCAATATTCTAGTCTGTGTCTTTTAATTGGGGCATTTAGCCCATTTGCATTTAAGGTTAATATTGTTATGTGTGAACTTGATCCTGTCATTATGATGCTAGCTGATTATTTTGCCTGTTAATTGATGTGGTTTCTTCATAGCATCGATGGTCTTTACCATTTGGCGTGTTTTTGCAGAGGCTGGTACCAGTTGTTCCTTTCCATGTTAAGTGCTTCCTTCAGGAGCTCTTGTAAGGCAGGCCTGGTGGTGACAAAATCTCTCAGCATTTGCTTGTCTGTAAAGGATTTTATTTCTCCTTCACTTATGAAGCTTGGTTTGGCTGGATATGAAATTCTGGGTTGAAAATTCTTTAAGAATGTTGAATATTGGCCCCCACTCTCTTCTGGCTTGTAGGGTTTCTGCCGAGAGATCCACTGTTAGTCTGATGGGCTTCCCTTTGTGGGTAACCCGACTTTTCCCTCTGGCTGCTGTTAACATTTTTTCCCTTCATTTCAACCTTGGTGAATCTGAAAATTATGTGTCTTGGGGTTGCTCTTTTTGAAGAGTAGCTTTGTGGTGTTCTCTGTATTTCCTGAATTTGAATGTTGGCCTGCCTTGCTAGGTTGGGGAAGTTCTCCTGGATAATATCCTGAAGGGTGTTTTCCAGCTTGGTTCCATTCTGCTCATCACTTTCAGGTACACCAATCAAACATAGATTTGGTCTTGTCACATAGTCCCATATTTCTTGGAGGCTTTGTTTGTTTCGTTTTACTGTTTTTTCTCTAATCTTGTCTTCTCACTTCATTTCATTAATTTGATCTTCAAACACTGATATCCTTTCTTCCACTTGATCGAATCGGCTATTGAAGCTTGTGCATGTGTCATGAAGTTCTCATGCTGTGGTTTTCAGCTCCATCAGGTCATTTCAGGTCTTCTCTATACTATTCATTCTAGTTAGCCATTCATCTAACCTTTTTTCAAGGTTCTTAGCTTCCTTGCAATGGGTTCGAACATGCTCCTTTAGCTTGGAGAAGTTTCTTATTGCCGACCTTCTGAAACCTACTTCTGTCAACTCGTCAAAGTCATTCTCCATCCAGTTTTGTTCCATTGCTGGCAAGGAGCTGCGATCCTTTGGAGAAGAAGGGGTGCTCTGGTTTTTGGAATTTTCAGTTTTTCTGCTCTTCTCCTCATCTTTGTGGTTTTATCTACCTTTGGTCTTTGATGTTGGTGACCTACAGATGGGGTTTTGGTGTGGATGTCCCTTTTGTTGATGTTGATGCTATTCCTTTCTGTTTGTTAGTTTTCCTTTTAACAGTAAGGCCCCTCAGCTGCAGGTCTGTTGGAGTTTGCTGGAGGTCCACTCCAGACCCTGTTTGCCTGAGTATCACCAGCAGAGGCTGCAGAACAGCAAACATTGCTGCCTGATCCTTCTTCTTGAAGCTTTGTCCCAGAGGAGCACCCACCTGTATGAGGTGTCTGTTGGCCCCTACTGGGAGATGTCTCCCAGTCAGGCTACACGGGGGTCAGGGACCCACTTGAGGAGGCAGTCTATCCATTCTCAGAGCTTGAACGCCGTGCTGGGAGAACCAGTGCTCTCTTCAGAGGTGTCAGACAGAGATGTTTAAGTCTGCAGAAGTTGTCTGCTGCCTTTTGTTCAGCTATGCCCTGCCCACAGAAGTGGAGTCTATAGAGGCAGTAGGCCTTGCTGAGCTGTGGTGGGCTCCACTCAGTTCGAGCTTCCTGGCCGCTTTGTTTACCTACTCAAGCCTCAGCAGTGGCGGACACCCCTCCCCACCACCAGGCTGTAGCCTCACAGATCGATCACAGACTGCTGTGCTAGCAGTGAGCAAGGCTCCGTGGGTGTGGGTCCCACTGGGCCAGGCACAGGAGGGAATCTCCTGGTCTGCTGATCGCTAAGACCGTTGAAAAGTGCAGTATTTGGGCGGGAGTGTACTGTTTTTCCAGGTACAGTCTGTCACAGCTTCCCTTGGCTAGGAAAGGGAAATCCCCCAACCCCTTGCACTTCCTGGGTGAGGCGACGCCCCACCCTGCTTTGGCTTGCCCTCCGTGGGTTGCACCCACTGTCCAACCAGTCCCAATGAGATGAACCAGGTACCTCAGTTGGAGAAATCACCCATCTTCTGCGTTGATCTCGTTTGGAGCTGCAGACCAGAGCTGTTCTTATTCGGCCATCTTGGAAGCAACTCCTATGTATAAGTCTTAACTAAAATATCAGCATAACAAAGTCTAGCAATAAGTTAAAAATAAATCCTAACAAGTTTAGGCTTCTATTAGGAATGCACAGTTTGTTTAACTTTCAAAAAAGTCCATTAATATAATTCATTCTATTAAAAGATTGAGGCAGAAAAAAATAAATGATCATTCTGGTAGCTGGAGAAAAATCAGTTGATGTTATTTAAAACCCATTTGTAATTGGAAGAAGTTTCACCTAACCTGACATAGGGGTCTCACTTAATGCTGAAACATTAGAAGTTTCTAAACGTAGAATAAAATAAGAATATCAGTGTCATCACTTTTTAAAAATATCTTAGTGACTATATGAATTTCAGTAGTAATACAAGTAAAATAATAAAATGTTTATGAATAAGGAATAAACCTGTTATCATCTTTATAGGCCATATCTGTTTTTTACATAGAAAATCCCTAGAGACTGTCTAGAAAAAATATATCTGATACAAAACAAGATCTATCGAAGTATCAAATGTGTTTCTATATTCTTACAACAGACAGTTAGAAAATGTAATTTCACAAATTTTATTTTCAATATCTGCAGGTGTTGAGTACCAAAAAATAAATTTAAGAAAGAACAACATAAATGTTGAGTTGTATCACGTTTATGCCTGGGAAAACTCAATACCAGATGCCAAATTTTTCCAAAATAAATTGAGTGTGATTAATGTGATTCCAACTAAATTTAATGTGATTCCAACTAAAGTCTTAACAGGGACTTCATGAGACTGTACAAGTAAATTTAAAATTTACAATGATGAGCAAAGGATCAGTAATGAGCAAGAATAGTAAAACAAGACAATTTTAAAGAAAAAGAACCAAGTTGGGGGACTTTCTGTGCCAAATGCAACACTTTCATAATGCTGTAAGGATTAAGATGATGTTTTGCTGGGTCAGGGATAGACATGTAACACAAGGAACAAAAATAGGGAGTCCAGAAACTGGATATCTGCTGTGTTAATCTTCTCCCATGTTACTTATAGCTTTGCTGTAATCCATCCTATGCCATATCCAGTTGTTATAATATCCCATGTTACATTCAATTTAATATGCCAACTAGTGGCTAAAGAAAAGATTTCTGAGTGGGAGCTAAACACTGGGTACTCATGGACATAAAGATGGCAACAACAGACACTGGAGACTACTGTAGGGGGAAAGGAGAAGGGGGCCAGGATTGAAAAACTACTGGATACTCTGCTCACTGCCTGGGTGATGGAATCAATTATACCCTAAACTTCTGCATCGCATGCGATATACCCATGTGACAAACATGCACATGTATGTCCTGAATCTAAAATAAAAATCAAAATATGAACAGATAGCACGTGCCTGCAGTCCTAGCTGCCAGGAGGCTGAGGAAGGCGGATGGCTTGAGCCCAAGAGTTTGAGGCTCCAGTGAGCCACGATCGCACCACTGCACTCCAGCCTGGGTGACAAAGCATGACCCTGTCTCAAAATAAATAAATAAACAAATAATATAAATAAGTAAATATTTTCTTTTTTTAAAAAAAGGAAATATTCTTGAATGCATTTTTCTGGAAGCCTCCTCCTGGTACCTCAGAATTCTGCTTCCTGGAATCTCTGGCAGGTAGAAATGACCATAAAAGTTTGATTCTACTCAAGACTTTTTTGGTCATGGACTATGACAAGCCACATTGCTGATTGCAGACCCTCAACATTTTAGAATAAAATATATAACTAAAAAGATTTATGACAGGGTGTGTCTCTCCCTCTGTCTTCTGTTCAGAAAATTTACCCATTCTCAACAGCCTTGCTTTCCCTCTGCAATCTGGGCATTGCTTCCGTCAGTGGTGTCTTCACATGGAATTGGGGAATTGGCAGCTTTTTTTCCCCTTTCTTCAGAGATTTAAAGTAAATGACACCTTAGATCAGATAGATGAGCATCATCCTTCCTCCTCCCTTCCTTTTTGGATAGATTTCATCTTCATCTCTCTTGCCCTTCTCTCTCTCAGTCTTTCAAGGTTGCTGAGAGCTCAGAGGGAATGGGATTGATTTCACATGAGACCTTACTATTTAGGGTCATCCTGAACCCATGCGAAGCATTTTCTTTGCAGCAGGACAGAGTGCCTGGATTTCTTCTTCTTATTGTTATTTTATTATTATTCATCTTTACCTGAATGCAGAGGCTCATTCTGGTGAACACGTGCCCTATTGGGAGTTGGTCTTGCTGGACTTCTTTGATGGCTGGACCCCTGGCTTTTTCTCTCAAGGTTATAAGAGCCGGGCTTCTGGGTCAGATGATGCTTTCTCTGTGGAGGCACAATCACTCTCTTCTTTTCTGGCTCAGTGTTGAGGCCTCCCGTGCTCAGCCGTAGAGGTCAATGCTACAGAGCTGACTGAGGCAGGAGGCAAGGCTGAGCCTAGGATCAGAGGGCTCTTGTTCCAGGGCCAGCAGCTCTGCAGGAATGAGACCAGGCACCATTGTGTGAGGATCCTAGGGGATGTGGAGGAAGGAAAGGTGTGATCTCAGACCCACCCACAGGGTCCACCTGTGCCCCATGGGCTCCCCCTGCCTATACTGCCATTGACGTCTGAAAGCACAGCTTGTAATCCCATAAGGATTGGGCTTCTGAATCCTGCCTGGGGGGCCAAGCAGTGGTTTGCTCCCAAGCCCTCTTTCAGCCTCACTGCTTAGGGCAACATGGTGTAAGCAAACACCATGATCCAGGCAAGCCAGACCTTCCTGGAGCCTCCTTCGTTCTGGCTTATCTCCAAGTGTGTGATCCCACCATGCCCTCCGCCAGGGGCCTGTCCACATCCGTTTCCGTCTTTGGGAGCTCTGGCTATCCTTTAAAGCCTATGCAGACACCTCTCCTCCTCCTACCCCCGCTAAGGACACGTAGCTTGCGTCCTACATGTTTGAGTTACATTTGCCCCAGTCACCCCCTCCGTGGTGAGGGTAGGGCTCAGAGCTCTCCTCACACCAAGAGTGAGCCCCAGTCATTGCTGGCTGGGGGAGGACAAAGGCAGCCAGATAAAGGCAGCTCCTGCAAGGACGGAGAGGCCACAGGCCGGCATCTTCACAAACTGTGGATGTACTGTGTCTTCCAGTAGTCAAAATAAAGAATATATTTGGCCATTTTCAGACTATTTAATACAGAACAGTTTACACACAGAAGAGGAGTGAGGAGGAGAATGAATCCCTGCAGCCCTACCCCTGTTTCCACGGTTATGGGTGTTTGCCAGCACAGGGCTGCCCAGCACTGGTGATGGGGTCACTGTTGGCTGGCATCTGTCGGGCATCCCCGGGGAAGCTGCGCCGGTGCTGTGGCCACTGAGGTCCTCATAGGGGTTCTGGCCACTCACATTTCCGAGGTTCTTCATTTCCCACCTCAGATCACTGTTTTCAAACTCAGTTTTCAGCAACAGGGCCTTTCTTCAAACTCATCTTATCTCCACCCCTAATGCTCAAAACAGATAAAGTAGTATTAGCACAAATCCATTACAAGAGTTTACTTTTATACTATGTACTTATAAAATCAATTTGCCTATGGGAAAGAAGCGTAAAACTACCATCATGGGTATTAAGATTTGGATTTTGATAACATTTATGTGTTACAATTTCATGTAGCTCAATATTCTGTTTGGATGAAAAACATTCAGAAATCACTGAGTCACAAATCACTGAGTCACAGGTAAGCTGTTGCTAATAGCAACAGTTTTTTTATCTTGTTTTTACCTGTTTGCCTTGTGATCTCAAGAGTCTCTTCAATTAAATTGATCCAAATGCTTGAAAGAAAGGCTTGTAGGAACTTTTTTTTTTTCAGAGTTGAATCACTGATCTAACAGATGCTCAGTCTTGATTATAAATATGAAAATCAGACAGGAAGAAACCCAAGCTTAAAATAAGCAAAACTTTGTTCCCCATAACATGCATCAAACCACACTATTCTTAATTTTTAATTTATTTTTATTTCAAAAATATTTATGTTTTTATTTTATTTTATTAGAGACAGGGTCTCGCTCTGTCTCCTAGGCTGGAGGACAGTGGTGCAAACATAGCTCACTGCAGCCTCAAACTCCTGGGCTCAACTAATCCTCCTGCCTCAGCCTCCTGAGTAGCTGGAAACATAAGCTTATGTCACTGCACTGATTAATTTTGTCAGTGTTTTGTTTTTGTAGAGATGGGGTCTTGCTTTGTTGCCCAGTCTGGTCTCAAACTTCTGGCTTCAAATGATCCTCCCCTCTGGGCCTCCCAAAGTGCTAATATTATAGGTGTGGGCCACTGTGCCCAGACTATAGACCATGCTTTCTATGTTGCTGCTACTGAGGGTGATTGATGGGGGAACGCATCCCACGTCTGGTGCGGGTTAGATGCCATGTAATTGGAGGGACAGACTTTAATTTTTTAAAAGCAATGCAAAGCTGAAATCTCATTTGGTGACTCCTTTATAAGAGATTCAAATGCGTGCAAATTCATGGCCAGAGAGGCTTTAGTTTAACTTCCATGCAAAAAGGAGTTAAACAGGACACATAAATTAACACAACGGTAGTCTCTAAGAGTTAAAATTTTGTTAATAGTCATTTGAGTGTGTGACTTTTATTACCATTTTCAAATTCAAAGGAACTAAAATATTGGAGGTAAATATTTCCAGAAACCTTGAGGCGCCTCCATAGGGTCTCAGGGCTCCAGAGAACCTAGCTTGAAGATCATGATACTATCCAGAGTGAGCTTGTGCAGGTCCACATTTTCAGCTATTTTGTGCCCAATCACCATTTATAATGTGACTCATTAACAGTCAGATACAGACTACGGTCAAGCAAAGAATATTTACATCTTGATCCTACCTCCTCCTCTCTCTTTCCCTATGTGTTTTTGGAAGTAAGGGGGGGGGATGTGTCCTTTCATGACAACTTGGCTCTCGCCTTCTCTCCCTCTCTCCTTTCTCTCAGTCTCCCCCTTTTTCCCCCTTATCCCCCTTTCTTCCTTCCCTTAAACTTCATCACGTTTTTGCTTGTTTCATATTCAAATCACGGCTTTCTCATACAATTACTACTTTTTTCCTAGAGTTTCTGGTTGCCTTTTCTTATTATAAGAATGTTTAAAACTGTGTCCTTAATCAAGTCCATGATGTTTTTCAGCTCATTATATCTCCTCTTTCTTGCTCTGAACCCATTTGGTTCTGTCCTCAGTACTTTAACGTCTTGCTGGGATTTGGACCCACCTTTTTCTAGGCCTCCTGCTCAAGTCATCCTCTAAATCTCTTTTATCGATCTCCAGGTTTAATCTAAAAGTGTATTCTTTCTCAGGTTTCACTCTCATTGTTCCAAAGCTGACCAAGGAAATATATGTTGGGAACAAGCTCTTCAAGGCTTTAATGTTCTTGAAAACCCCTTTTTTTTTGCCTTCATGCTTGGGTGGTTTTTCTGCTGTGAGAAGTGTCTTCGTGTTATTTCTTAATTTTTTCCCTCCCACTCTCCCTGATGGAGCTTCTGTGAGTGAGGCGAGTTCCCCCAGCCTTGTCCTCTACGCTGTCTTCTTTCTGTGTTACGTTTGATCTCTGTGATTTCTATCAGCCAAACCTCCCACCTACTCATAAAAAGTTATTTCATAAATCATACCTTTAATTTCCATTTTTCTCTCTTTTTTCTAATTGCTATATCCTCTTGAATGTTGTGAGGACATTACTTTTTTAAGAAGTGATTTTTCCTTCTTTTCATTGACTCATTCTTTTTGGATCTTTTTTGGTGTGTATCCTCCACTGTGTGTCGCATGCTGAAGACTGTCCTCCGGTATCTGTGATTCTAAGTTTCCCCTTGAGAAATCTCAGACATGGGAGAGGCTGCCTGAGGCTCTGTAGTCATGGGCAGCTCCTGCAGGGGCCATAGTGGCCAAAATGAGGGGAGCTTTACTCTGGGGTGCTGGTACTTTGACTGGCTGCCTGTGTTTTTTTGAGGTGGTTTATTTTTCTTTACCAGTAGGGCTGTGTTTTAAGGGTACCCAGGGTTGGTTTTAATCAGGCATGGTGAGACACTTAGACACAGAAGTGACTGTCCTGAAGGAAAGCAGTTTTACTCACTGTTCTTAGAAGCAGAAGGACAGGCTAGGCGCGGTGGCTCAGCCTGTAATCCTAGCACTTTGAGAGGCTAAGTGGGGGTGGATCACGAGGCCAGGAGTTCAAGACCAGCCTAACCAACATGGTGAAACCCCATCTCTACTAAAAATATAACAATTAGCCGGGAGTGGTGGCACGCACCTGTAATCCCAGCTACTCAGGAGGCTGAGGCAGGAGAATTGCTTGAATCCAGGAGGCAGAGGTTGCAGTGAGCCGAGATCGTGCCCCTGCACTCCAGCCTGGGCAACAGAGCTAGACTCCATTTCAAAAAAAAAGGGAAGCGTAGCACATGCAGGGACACAGGGAGGCACCAGGGCCACGCGGGAGGCCGAGAGAGTGCGGGAAACCTGAGCAAGGGCCGTCCTTCATTGTGGCTTCTGCAGGAAGGAAGGGAGGAGCAGGGCACGCAGGCTTAGGTTTAGGATTAGCTCCTTAGAATAATTGCAGTAGGCCCTGGGGCATAGGGACTCTTCCTGGTTGACTTTTACCTGGTCCTGCAGTGATGAGAGCAGGACTGGTGTCAACCCCAGTGTGACAGCCTGATAAAGGATGTGTTTGGGTGGGGGTATGGGTTCTGGATTGATTGATTTGTGTTTGAAAGGCCAGAGTTGTTTACTATCTCTCCAAGGGGCCTCCAGAGTCAGCAAAGCCCCAGATGTCAACACATCAGAATCCAGAAAATAAAAGACAAGGCTAGTACAGGCTGTTGGTGTAATTGCTGTTGGGGCTGTGTGTGTGTGGGTGTGTGTCCTTTATCCCAGTTGTTAACTCCTGGCTGCAGGAGGCTGGAACAGGGGACGGAGAGGGGCAGAGGTGCATCCGTCTAAAACTCGCACTTACTTCTGTTGTCTTCCCTCACTCTCCTTCTTTTCATCGCTAACTGTGGAGCTGGAAGCCCTCTGGGGTTGTGGTGTCCAGCTCCCTCCTGCACCTGCAGTTCAGTCATTCAAGATATATATGTGGGCCGGGCACGGTGGCTCACGCCTATAATCCCAGCACTTTGGGAGGCTGAGGCGGGTGGATCACAAGGTCAGGAGATCGAGACCATCCCGGCTAACATAGTGAAACCCCCGTCTCTACTAAAAATACAAAAAAATTAACCAGGTGTGGTGGTGTGCACCTGTAGTCCCAGCTACTCGGGAAGCTGAGGCAGGAGGATGACATGAACCCAGGAGGTGGAGCTTGCAGTGAGCCGAGATCATGCCACTGCACTCTAGCCTGGGCAACACAGCAAGACTCTGTCTCAAAAAAAAAAAAAAAAGATATATATGTGAAGCACAAACCAAGTGTGGGTCCGCTTCAAGAGGCTGGAACTAGAGCTTTGGACACAGCGAGTGAAAACCCTGCCCCATGAGGCTCACAGGGTGGCAGCGTGCCTCACCCACCCTCTGTTCTTCTAGACACCATGAAAATGTCACATCTGCCGATGTCCTCCAGAGTTGTTTACAGGTTTCATTTGGTTAAGAGCTTGGTTTTATATACATTGTGAGAAAAATCACCAGTTCGGTGTGAAAATTGAAATGGGGGTAGACACTGGCCCTTCCAAGCTGTGCCCGGGGAAGACCTCCCAGGCCAGCCCCAGTGGTGCTCTCAGGCAGGGTGTGGGGTTGTGAGGACAGACAGGGGCCCCTCTCAAGGTCTTTGCTGCTCCATCAAAGACAGACCCCAGGGCTTCGGGAAATCCACAGCCTGGTGGCACTGGCTCATGCAGTCCTTTTCCTGTTTCTAGTGCTGATGAGCGCTTTGACGCCACATTCCACACTAACGTGTTGGTGAATTCTTCTGGGCATTGCCAGTACCTGCCTCCAGGTAAGCTGCACCTCCTTTGTCCTCTTCCAGTTAGAAAACTGAAGCGAGTTTGGGTGTCAGTCAGTCTGGCCGGTGCCCCCGTGTGGTGGACCAGCTCTTTGCTTCGCCTTTGCTCACTCCCACCTCTTCCTCTCTCTTCTCTTCTGTGCTTCTGTGTGCTTTCTACCCCCAGAAGTCCATCCTCCTCTTTTGTCTCAATCAAGCCGTCTTTGCCACTATGTCCTTATTTTCTGCCATGTGTGCCTTAAAGCCAATGTACAAATACAGCGAGTCTCCTTTGCCGGGCAGTGGCCACCTCACCTTCCAGCCTGGCAAGCCACCTCTCCAGGCTCTGCTTCTCAGTTCCAGCTTGCCATCCTCCTCCCTGCGGGACTCAGTGTCTTGGCAGGTGCAGCGCTCCAGCTGCCGGGGGTGAGATATGACAGTTCCAGGATCCTGAGTGCGTGCGCTAAAGAGCACACGCAGGTTACAGGCAAGGTCTGGTGGTTTCAAGGGAGAGCTCTCTAGCGGCTGACTTCTTCCCAACAGTGTCTCACCTCCAAGGCTAAGTGCTCCCTGGATTGGTTCTTTCCCACCAGTCCATCTTTTCAGTCGATTCACAGGGCAAGGGAAATGGGTTTATGGCCTAAAGGTGCATGCAGAGTGCGCACTAGCATATTGATAGGAACAGCTGGGGTTTTTGATCTTTTAGAAGATTTTTAATGTGTTTATTCCAGGGTGATCTCCCACACTGCAGCTGTTTAACTTTCTGCTCAGAGGCAACCTGCAATTACCTCCACACCTAACTACCACTCACACATACGACTCACACACACACCACTCACAACCACTCACACACAGCCACTCACACATACCACACACCACTCACCCCTCACACACACCACTCACACACACCTCACACACACACACACCACTCAGTACTCACACACACCACTCACACCACTCACACTACTCACACCACTCATACACACCACCCACACACACTGTTCACACAACACACACACCACTCACAATCACACACACCACTCACACAACCACTCACATACCACCCACATGACTCAACACACACACCACTCACACAACCACTCACATACCACCCACACGACTCAACACTCACACACCACTCACACCACTCACATACCACCCACACGACTCAACACTCACACACCACTCACACAAATATACCACCCACACACCACTCACCACTCCACACATACCACTCACACAAACCACTCAAACCACCAACACACACACACCAGACACACACACACCCCTCACACACACCACTTACACACCACTCTCACACACCATACACACCACTCACACACGACTCACAACCCTCACACACACCACTTACACACATGCAGGCATGCACTCTCAAACCAGATACACTATTCACACCACTCACATACCACACATACTGGCTGTGCCTTCTCGGTTGCTGTCTGAGTGCCTTCCCTGTCAGCAGGTGACAAGCATCTGGGGGCACAGTCAGCCTTTGCTCACCTTAGCATTTATCCCTGAATGAACAAAGGAGCGAGTGAACCTGTCAATGGTAGACACCTCCCAATAATATTGGAAGAGATTGAAGAAGTCCAGCTGTTCAGGCTTCTCGAAGCATCCGCTTTCCTGCTAGCCCTGGCATTTCCTCCTACCAGCAGGACCCTTGCAAACAGGGGTAGTGGGGGGAGCCTTCCATCACTCCCGAGGTCTTTCTCGCCAGGCCTGCGTGTTGCAGCTTCTGTTATGAGGGCTATTTTAGAAAACAGCCTCCGGTAGTCACCAGTGTAGAATATGCTGCTGCAGGTTGTTTGGAAGGCTGAGGCTATTTTCAGCTGCAGGACCAGCACTGCAAGCCTCGAGCTGCCTGAGTGCAGCAGCCCCCTCTGGAGCTCCAGGCCTGTGTCCCCACTGCAGTGGCCCTGGATTCCGGTCAGGACAGGACACGTTGTCTTGTGACCATGAGGGGCTTCCTTACGCTGGCAGGAAAGGCCCAGGGCCGCCTGGATTGGGAAACCCCTGCCTGCTCCCTGGGAGTGTAGAACGAGTCCCAGGATGCTGCCCTGTCTGTAGTTAGAGGGGCATGGATAGGAAAGAATGTTTTGAGTTCAAGCTTTGAAATAGAGACTTGACCATAACATGACTTTCCCCCCCATTTCATGTGTTTATTTTTTAACAGCTTTATTGAGAGAGAATTTACATATCATGCATTTTAAGTACATGATTCAACAACTTTTAGTATATTTACAGACTTATGCAACCATTACCACAGTCTAGTTTTAGAACATTCCCATCACCCCACAAAGATCCCTTTTGCTTGTTTGCAGTTAATTCCCATTCCTACTCCCAGCAACCACTGATCTGCTTTCTGTCTCTAGAAATTCTCTGTCTGTCTCGGGCCATTATTTCGTAGAAATGGGCTCATGAAGTTACAAAGCTTTCCAACTAACTGGCAGACAAGGTGGGTTTTGGGGGGATCCAACTATTAATGGAGGGGGATTGTCTGTGATGATTCCAGATTCCTATAAACATTTCATGTAAGGACGCAAAGCATACTTAAAGGAACTTCAGGGGACAAAATGTGTATCTTTTCCCAACTCGGTTGTGGGGTGGGGTCCTTGTGTGCAAGGCTGTGGAGGCCCTTCCTGCGTGCACTCTTTCTGTAACTCAGTAACAGAAGTTTGCAGAGTGCCAGCCCTGCCCCAGGAACACCTGGACACCGAGTCTGTGCCTGTCTTCTTGTGCCATGCAGCCTTCCTCTGGGCAGGGAAGAGCACATGAGTGTAAATAACTGGAGTGGCCTCTATCTGGTTTCCTCCCCTTGGCCCTCTGGGAAATCCACTTCCAACCTGTCCTAGCCTGGAATAGCTCTTTTCAGCGGAAACTCTTCCTTCAAGCACCATCTCTTCAGCTTAAACCTATCTATCTGTTCTTGTTTTTGTTTGTTTGTTTGTTTGTTTGTTTGTTTTAACTTTTTTTCTTACAGACAGATTCTAGGTGTGTTCCCCAGGCTGGAGTGCAGGGGCTCGATCATAGCTCACTTCACTTTAGCCTCAAACTCCTGGGCTCAAGCAATGCTCCTGCCTTAGCCTTCTGAGTAGCTGGGACTACAGGCATGCATCACCTCACCCAGCTAATTTTTTTTATTAGAGATGTCTCACTATGTTGCCCAGTCCGGTCTCAAACTCCTAGTCTCAAGTGACCCTCCCACGTCAATGTCTTAGAGTCACTGGGATTACGGGCATGAGACACTGTGCCCAGCTTGTTCTGTTCTTCATCTAGAATTTAAATTAGTTAAAATTCTAGCTTTAACCAGAATTCTAGATTGTATTTCTCGATAATCATGTGTTCTTCCCATTTTTAACCTAAAGAAAATGCCTACCTCACCCCGCACCAAACAGACACACACACACACACACACACACACCTTTTAGATTCTATTTCTAACTTCATCATCAGGGTTATCAACTTCTCTGAGATATTTTGCATTCTTTACTTTTATTATTTAGAGTCTGAAGATGCTCATGGTAAATGCAGATTATAGAGCTAACTTTTTGCACAAAAAGCCCACAAAACAGTCTTTGAGAGAGCATGTCAGTGTTACGTTTGGATTTTAAAAGACAGTGAAGCTTAGCTGAGATTCTGTTTTACAGATTTTGCGAATAAATAAAAAGACAGATTCCATTTGCTCTGGACTGTGTTAGCTGCAGTGCGGAGGGCGGAACCGGCTGAAGGAACTGCTGTGTATTTTCAGCACATCTCAGTCAGCTTCCGTTTCAGTCTTCTGTTTCCATCACCCACACAGGCATATTCAAGAGTTCCTGCTACATCGATGTACGCTGGTTTCCCTTTGATGTGCAGCACTGCAAACTGAAGTTTGGGTCCTGGTCTTACGGAGGCTGGTCCTTGGATCTGCAGATGCAGGAGGCAGATATCAGTGGCTATATCCCCAATGGAGAATGGGACCTAGTGGGTAAGCCATGGGACTAACCGCCTGGAAGAAAGCTTTCCTATTCCTGGGCAAGCTTTAAAAGTTTGGGATTTTCCACTGTCCTTTCTGGTGCGAGCATTTATTGAATTTTGCAGTAGTCTCCATAATTTACTGAGAGCTACAGGAGGAGAAACAGAAAACAGTTAGGATATGCCATGCTTTCCAAGAGGAACTGGCAACTGCAGTGAGGATGCATTTAAACAAACCAGTGTGAGGATAGATCTCTCTACGTTATGCAGATCCACTCCATTTCTAAAAGCAAGTTGAACAGCAAATTTCAGTTGATGGGAACCTATATTTGATTATTTTAAAATAGGAAAACAGTGATTACATTTATAACAGTGTAAAATTGGTAATGTATTATTTATAATTATTATAATCATGTGTTTCCAATCCACCAAAAGAATATGTACCAATTTGGCCAACTATCACTAAAATACTCTTAACTCTATAGTAAATCAACAAGGTTTTATTCAAGCTAATTACAACCCCCCCCTTTTTTTTTTTTAGCACTTTGCAAACTTTAGGACTGTGCTTGTGTGTGGTATACACATTGAAATAAACAGGGTAATTTATTGTATTCTAACAATGGCTCCTTCTCTCCTCCTCCCTATGGAGGAATCCCCGGCAAGAGGAGTGAAAGGTTCTATGAGTGCTGCAAAGAGCCCTACCCCGATGTCACCTTCACAGTGACCATGCGCCGCAGGACACTCTACTATGGCCTCAACCTGCTGATCCCCTGTGTGCTCATCTCCGCCCTCGCCCTGCTGGTGTTCCTGCTTCCTGCAGATTCCGGGGAGAAGATTTCCCTGGGTAAGCGCCCCAGTGTCTGGCGGGAGTCTGAGACTGGAGACCTTCTGCTGAGATCAGCTCTGGAGGGCTCACAGCAGACAGCGCAGGACTCCATCAGGGTTCCTGGGGATTCCCTGGCTCATCCCATGGACCTCCGAGCCCACGGTGGCTCCAGGACACCAGAGGTCCCTGATTCGGGCTCCGTGCTGGACGGCTGTGTAATCCTGAGAATACTGGAGGACCCTCAGAGGATGGGGGATGCACAGGGAGGGGGCCAGCTCCATTCTGCCTTGAGAGGCCTGTGCTTTCTTCCCTCCTGCCACCCCACCTGTTCCTCAATGGCGACTGGTCATCGAGGGAACAATTTAGCTTAGTATCAGCTTGCATTTGTATGTTACAGTACCCAGTGTAATTCTTACGATCACTCCCATACGAAGCTAAGGAAACCAAGATTTTGAATGGTGGAATGAGTTTCCCAATGTCTTAAAGAGTTGCTAAACATCAGATGTAGCATATGGTAGAAATCATTCCCAAACCCATATCTTCTGAGTATGAGGTTCAGAAAGGTTGAATGTTGTATCTAAGGTCACATAGCTAGCTGAGTAGCAAACGTAAGACCTGAAATCAGGTCTCCTGACTGCATATTTTCTTTTTCCTGCTACGTGAAACTACTTCTCAATAATATTTTACAGAGAATATGAGAGATAATTGTGCCAAGTTAAATTTTTCAGTTTGTGTTGATGCTTTTAAAATTCTGGGTCCTAAACTTGTCTCCATAAGAGACTCCTTTGGGACTCTGGTAAGTGGCATGGAATGTCCCCTGGAAAATGCACACGCCCATACATAGGGAAAACGTGCATTCCACGACATTCCCCCCAGCGCCTCCCTTTCTTTTGAGTGTCAGGTTAGGAGCCCTCGTTAGACAGAATTGAGGCCTTCTTGTCTGTTTTTGTCTGAGGAACCGCTGTGTGTTTATGTTTTAGGGATAACAGTCTTACTCTCTCTTACCGTCTTCATGCTGCTCGTGGCTGAGATCATGCCCGCAACATCCGATTCGGTACCATTGATAGGTAAGGCAAGAGTTGGGCTCCTCTCTTAGAGATATGGGGTTAGGGTTAGAGTGTGCCCAGGATTTCCCAGCAGATGAAACTAGAAGAAATAGGGCTGCACTGCCCCCATTTTCTCTGGAAGGTGATGATTTGCTGTAACTATTCAGAGTCACCCGGGCCCAAGTAAGGGGAAGGGGATATTCAGCTTTGAGGTTTGACTTTTATCTCACAGAAATGCCCCCCTTCCCCTCATAATTCTCCTCCTCATGCTTGCTTTGAAGCCAGATATTTCATCGTTAGAGATGCATCATTTTAGCTTAAGATGTTGTTTTCCCACAAAGCCTTTGTTAAAATGGGAGAAGCACACAGTTACTGTGTCCTGAGATAACTCAATGTCTCTGTATAAAAGTTTCTAGGGAAATATGAATGAGAAAAATATATTTTGCACAGGTATAAGGCATGATCCTCTACCCAGGGAGGGACAACAAAAACAAGTCTCCACTCCCACTGGGCAGGGAAGGTTGGAAGGAGGTATACAGACTGTCATTACACCTGCTGGCCCCTGCTGTTTGAGGACCTATGCTGTGTCTACCTGGGGGTGGGCTAGAGGGAGAGCCCTACCTGGATACCCCCAGGCTTTAGGAACCAAGCAGCAAAGGCCCTTCTTTGTGGAACTCCCTGTATGTGCAGTATTTTGGCCAGAGAAACTGTTGGTATGAAAAGCCTTTGTGGGTATCATTTTTCTCTTGGTACCATCCAGACAGGGAAGAACCACCTTTCCACCTGATTCTGACTCCATTCTTTCTACCTTCCAGCACACTGCTTTCAGTAGAGATTTGCAGCCTCCCTTCCGGGGGCAGTTGTCAGGCCTTCTCTCTCTGGACTGATGACCCGCTGGGAAAGGCTTGGTTGGTGCATAGCCCACATCTCGAAGGATGGGATGTTGATGGCCCCAGGGACATCAGCTTTGCTGCCCTCTGTTGATGGAAATTCAGTCTGGGCAATCCTTTGACCCCCATCTCTCCAGAGGTGGTTGGTCTGCTCAGGCTGCCGTGACAAAATACTATGGACTTAGGGGCTTAAATAACTAACAGAAATTTATTTTCTCACAGTTGCACTGCTGAAAGTCCAAGACCAAGGGGCCATTAGGGATGGTTTAACCTGAGACCTCTCCCCCTGGCTTGCAGACAACCACTTTCACAATGCTTTGTCCTCCCCTGGTAGTTCCTCTGTGCACCTGCATCCCTGGTGTCTCTCTGTGTGTCCAAATTTTCTCTTCTTCATTAAAAGAACACCAGTCAGATTGGATTAGGGCTTACCCTGATGACCTAATTGTACTTAATTACCTCCTTAAAGACCCTATCTCCAAGTACAGTCACATTCTAGGGTACTAGGGGTTGGGGCTTCAACATATGAATTCTAGGGGGAAGCATAATTCAGCTCATAAGGGTCACGGTTTGCTCCAGTCTCCTTCCTTTTCTCAGGGGCCCTGATGCTAACTTTAGGTCTCAAACTTCCAGCTCTGGCAGAGCTCCTCCCAGGTACCTCTTGGTCTTTGTAGGAAGGCAGTGAGTTCCTTCCTGGCGTGAGGGCCTGTGAGGGCTAGCTGAATGCTTAGCGCCCTGCACCCTGATGCTTTCCGCTTAGAGTTCAGCCCCTTGAGTGGACAGCCACACCAAAGGTTTAATAATTAGAGCTGCCCACTAAAGAATGCCCCCTCCTTTCTCCTAGACATCTTGGCCTGTGTAATTGCTCATCATTGCACAAATCCTGCAAGGAAGAAGTTCCTATTTTAATGGAGGCTACCGTAACAAATTGCTGTAGTCTGGGGGCCTAAGCAACAGACATTTATTTCTCAGAGTTCTGCAAGGCTGCACGTCCTCGATAAGGGTGGCAGCAGGGCTCTGGTGAGGGGCCACTCCCTGGTTTACAGCTGGCCCTCTTCTCGCTGTGGCCTCACGTGGCAAAAAGAGAGTGAATTAGCTCTTTAGCCTCTTTTTATGAAGGACTCTAATCCCATTCATGAGGGCTGCACCCTCAGGACCTGTTGAAGGCCCCTGAGAAAATCACTCACCATTTCTCTACTTACACAACACTTCTGACACCAAAGCGGGGCGTTTCTCCCACATCGACCAATTCTTGGAAACCAGCTGGGCGTCCTACAGTGAGTTCACTTCAGTCCTGACACCACCTGGAGTTAGCACAGCACTCACAGATTAAGGCTCACAAGACCATTTCTACTTGAGATGCCAGTTAGAAGTTCCGGCTTCCCATGCTTCTGACCAAGTGTCTATAAATCGGGGAGTTCCCAAAAGCACATCTTTGAGTTCAGCCATTTACTAGAGTGACTCACTCTAGTAAACTCAGGGAAACATTTTACTGATATTTATTCATTAATTATAAAGCACAGATGAATAGTCAGATGAAAGAAATGCATAGGGCAAGGTATTTGGGAAGGGGCATGGAACTGCCATGCCCTCTCTGCCCTCCAAACACCTCCCCGTGTTCAGCACTGGGAAGGTCTCCACAGAACTCCATCCTTTTGGGTTTTTATGGAGGCTTCACTACATAGGCATGATTGATTACATCATTGGCCACTGGCGATCCACTCAACCGTCAGTACCTCTTTCCTCCCCAGGGGTCAAGGGTTGGGAGAGGGGACAGAGCTTGAAGGTTCCAACTCTCTAATTACTTGGCTGGTTCCCCTGGCAACCAAACCCCATCCTGAGGGTATCCAGGAACCTCAGCCATAAATCATTTCATTAGCATATAAAAAGACACTGATGACTTCAGAGATTCAAAGGTTTTAGGAGCTGTGTGCCAGGAAATGGGAGGAAGACTAAATACATATTTCTTATTATAAATCACAATCTCATACCTCCCAAAGCCCCACCTCCAGATACCATCCCAGTTAGGACTAGGGTTTTAACCCATGAACTTCGTGGGGACACAAACGTCATCCTTTGTACCACCCCCATTGGAGAGCTGAGGCCCGAAGAGGCTGAGCATCCACTCCAAACTCACAGCCAGTAGCTAGTGGACCAGGATGGAAGCACTCAGATGCTCCATGCTGCCCCTCACCTGGGCCCAGGTGGAAGGACACCCATGACCCATTAGAACCAAAGCTGAGACTGAAGTTCTCGTCCTGAAAAGTCCCTGCCACTGACCCCTTCCTCAGGCTGGACAGCTGGCAGCCAGGTGGTGTGCAGGTTTGCCCTCATTGTGCCCCTGGAGCACAGTAGAGGCCTGCATCATGAACACTGGATGGTTCCCATGCCCTCACATCCAGTATTTACCCACAGGAACAAGCTTATCACCATCCTGCCAGGCGATGCTAGCTCTTATTGACTGACAAGTCGGCCAGAGTGCATGGAAGTGCAATGAAGTGAGGGAAGGTCACTCCGTGGGCGGGAAGTCAGACCACACTGGCTGGTTTTGCCCACCCAGAATGTGGGCTGCAGGCCTGGACACATGGGCATCACTGCACCCTGAGGCCCTGACGGTCAGAGAACCTGATCAGGGTGTGCCTGTCCTGTGACGTGCAGTGCCACAGGATCCCCGGGTCTCACCCTGCATCTGTTCTCTCCACAGCCCAGTACTTCGCCAGCACCATGATCATCGTGGGCCTCTCGGTGGTGGTGACAGTGATCGTGCTGCAGTACCACCACCACGACCCCGACGGGGGCAAGATGCCCAAGTGGGTACGTTCCTCCCACCCCCGATGGAGTCGGAGCCCCCCTGTAAAGGAGGCTCCTCCTAGGGTTTATTTTTAAAATCACACAAAAAATGGGCATTCCTAAAGAAATAGCTTTGGGTTTTTTGTTTGTTTTTTTGAGACGGAGTCTCACTATGTCACCCAGGCTGGAGTGCAGTGGTGTAATCTTGGCTCACTGCAACCTCCACCTCCTGGATTCAAGCAATTCTCCTGCCTCAGCCTCCTAAGTAGCTGGGACTACAGGTGCCTGCCACCACACCTGGCCAATTTTTTTTTGTATTTTTAGTAGAGATGGGGTTTCACTATGTTGGCCAGGCTGATGTCGAACTCCTGACCTCGTGATCTGCCCACCTCAGCCTCCCAAAGTGCTGGGATTACAGGTGTGAGCCATTGTTCCCAGCCAGAAATAGCTTTGTTTCTGTATTTCGTCACCTATTGACGTGTCTTTGTGTAGTGTGCAGTCATGGTGCACGTGTTCCCGGATGCCCCGTGGCACTGCTGTCTAATCTAACTGCAGAGTAGAGTAAGGCTCTCAAACTGGCTGCCCTGTGTGTTCTATCAATCAGCACGGTGTTTTGAGAAGCTAGTTTGTTTTTTGATGCATGCCGTGAAGCACTGTGCTGCAGTTGGAAGCAACAGATGAGACAGATGCGTAGCAACATGGTTGAGGCTTCACAACAGAATGAGGAGCAAAGAGTAAGAAACGGAATGAGCTGTGTACAAATATGTACGTTCAGTACATCTAGGGATATCATCCAACCAGAAGTCTATGAAACAAAGACTAATTGTCACCAGTGCAGAAGGGGGAAGGGATAAAAGGAAACGGATGAAAACAGAAAGGATGGCATCCCACAGCCTGTCAGCTTAGCCTGGGCCATACCACTCCTGCCCCAGCTGCTGGCACCGTGCCCGGCCACATCTGCGGATGCTCACCCACCCAGGGATCCTCTCCTGCACGGTGTCCAGAGCTCTGCATCCACCCTTGCCTGGCAGTCAGGAAACCTTGATGAGGGCCTAGGGAGGGCCTGAGCTTCTTCCCCTCTTCATGTGAGCTTTGTAAAGCTTCCCCGTCCTCCTGTCTAGAGAGCCTGGCCTAAGGATTTGGGGAGCTAAAAAGGCCCTCACATTCCAAAAGTTGTCTGTCTTTGGAGAGCACTTGTGTCCCAGTTCAGAAGGGAATCTAGGAATCACCAACAAGCTAAATGCAGCTGTAGGGGGTGAGATGCTGTCAGGCACCCTCCAGGAATAGGGGATTGCTGGGCCTCCTGAAACAGTCATTGTGGAGTTGTTACCTGAATGCTCACTTAGCAAAGACTGCTTCTTAAGAAATGCTTTACAAAATTACTGTTTCTTCTCAGAGTTTCACCCACATGGCCCATTCCCCTTATACACTATTTAGTAAAGACTTACCTGTGAGCCCACCACAGTGGTGTGTGGCTGTAGTCCCAGCTACCTGGGAGGCTGAGGTGGGAGGATCATGTGAGCCCAGGAGCTCCAGGCTCCAGTGAGCTATGGTGGTGTCATTGCCCTCCAGCCTGGGTGACAGAGCAAAACTCCATCTCCTAAAAAAAAAAAAAAAAAAAAAAAAAAAAGACTCACTTGTAGCTCATTACACAAGCAGTAATGTGAGCTCAGCCTACATGGTGATGTCTCACACACAGACCACATCACTACATTCCCTGAGGCTTGTTTTGTGAAGGCCCCCCCTTAAAACACTGGGGTACATTTGCACACATTCACCTGTATTTTTGTCTGATTTCCTTATAACGCTGACCCACACTTAAGAAAATGCAAGGCCAGAGGTGAGAGGCCTGAGAGCTGGAGGCTTGTTGGTTTGCTGCTCTTTCTGTCTGTCCATCCATCAGTTTGAAGCAGGTAATACATTTACCTGTTTCTAAAGTCAAAATAAAATTAAAATTATACATAAGGAAATCCTGCTCCCATTCCTTCCCCTTTACCCTGCATCTACCGTCAATACTGATAACCGTTTTAATGAATTCCTTATTTTTCCTTCTAGTATTTATTTATGCAAATACAAAAATCTAAACATTCTCATTTCTTGTAAGTATTTTGACTGATGAGAAGATAAGAGAATTAAGACATTGAGACACAAAACCATTTTTAACGACCTGGAGCACTCTACTGCTCTAGAACAATCTTAATTAAGAACATATGCTAATTATTCACCTCTCAGCATAAAAGCTTATTAAAACCAATTGGCTGCAAATGAAAGATGAAGCTTATGCATTTCTCTCGCTTTATATAGCACACTGCATTTTTCTTTCATTCCATGTGTATGTGAAACACAAACAGCCTCCGAGGGACTTTTATTATGATCTGTTGCTATGAAGAAGATACTGCCGGGTGCAGTGGCATTATGTGACATTTGCACAGCCAGAAACAAAACTGTAGCCTAACAGAAGAGGTCAAGAGCACAGTTTGAGGAGTGCCAAGAGGATAATTTTATCTTTTAAATGCTTTGGCTTTGAAAGTTAATGATTCAGGCCATGGAATTCAAAATGGACTTGGCAGAGTGTATCGTATGAGCTTGAGATGTGCACTGGGGGACGTGTAGACCCTGCCATGGAGGGAGAAGTGCCTGGTGCTGCTCGCTCCCTGTGTGCACTGCTGCCACTGGATGCAGGCACACTCACTGCCCTGCAGCCTCCCAGGAGAGCTGGCTCAGGCTTTCTGGTGCCTTCCCAGAGGGGTGGGGTTGTGCGAGTTTTGAAGAGAATCTTACAGACCCTTTGACAGATGAGACTGGGAAAGGCTAAACATGTGAAGTGACATAACCACTTACTTACTCATTGTACATCGTTGGGCCAGTTTATTAGCCTCTTTGAACCTCAGTTTGTTGGTCTGTAAAGTGAGGGGATTATACTCATTTCACCGGACCCTGAAAGGCCCAAGTGAGATGACTTGTCTCATGAGCCTTGTATGGACGGCCCAACTCACCCAAGGTTTCACCTGGGGCCATATGTCCCTGCTCCTTACTGATCATAAAAAACCCTCCAAGGTCAGCAGACCCAACCTTTCCAGGACACGCAGAGTGCCGCCTGCTTGTAAAGTACAATGGGAAACAAAGGGTTATTTTTATAGCTGCAATGAAACTGGTCTTGTGCTTCCCTGTTCTTGTCCCCAGACCTGTTTGTTGCAGTTATCTTTGATAAGATGTTATAAAAAGATGACCAAGAATGAAAGCTCTGCAGATACGAACTGCACAATTTACTATCTGTATATTTATTTCCTAAAGATAGGAAATAAACCTGTTAGGTTACTGATGGAATTTCCCCAAAATCATAAAACAAAATGTAAATGAAATCAGGATCTGGATAATTTCAGGGAAAAGGCCCACTTTTCATACACTTTACATGGATGGGCTTGCAAGAATGCTTCTTTACCTGGATTGAGGCTTCAGTTGTCTCTCTTCTTTCCATGAGAGGCAAAACCAGGATAAACTCCATGGTGATTTTTCTCCAGCTTCTTTCATGCACTCTAGGACACACTTTAGACCAGAAGTTAGCAAATTATGGCCTAGGTGGCCAAATCCAGTCCACCAAGTGTTTTTGTAAATAAGTTATTTTAGAAAACATGCCCATCCATTTGACGCCTTCAATGTGTGCTACATCAGCAGAAGTGAGTAGTTGCCTGGCCCTTTACAGAAAGTTTGCCAACTTCTGCCTTCAACTTTTCAAAGTACTCTCCCAGACATCATCTTATTCGGTCTTCATTGAAGCCTACTGAGTTAGGTTAGAGGTTCCGAAACTGCCTTGGTTCACAGCACGTTAGTATCTCAGGAAATTTTTCACAGAGCCCCTGGCCAAAAGAAATAATACCCAAGGCTCTCTTTTTAAATAGATCAAAACACTTTAATAAGTATTTATGCCTTAACAATGTAGCACCTATGGGGCACGGCACCGCCTCTCAAATCTTGGGATCAGATTGGAGACCACTAACCTAGTTTCTGTTTCACATGAAGTTCCTTGGTGTTTGCTTTTTATCAGGGTACTTTGAAAAACAGCTTTGCAAAGTGGTCACGTCATCACAAGAGATGTGGTAATCTGATGTTGGAAGCCTGAAGTGCTTCAAGCTTCAAGTTTACCTGGTGTCTCATGGATATCCTGGGATTGCATTTGAAAATGTACAACCTCCCCCAGGCACTCTTTGCGAATTTGCAGTGGCCTTCCAGGGCACCTAACAGGTAGTGTGGGAGCCAGAGTTAGATCTGAAGGTCCCCGGGTTACAGATGAGGAAGGATCAGAGAGGGAAATTGACTTTCCCTCTTTACACAGCTCAGATAGCCTTCCCCTTCCACGAAGCTGTCTTCCCTGAGATTGCAGTGTGCCTGCCCCGGAGAACAATTTAGCTTGTTCCCAGGGTGCATCAGTTTTAGTCTTGCCTCACGTTGAACTCGACTGCTTGTCATACGCAAGCACTGCTTGCCTGCTAAAATCATCCGGGAGGCAGTGGAGGCTGCTACCCCCAGGACCAATGAAGCAGGGCTTGTATTGTAGGATCTTACTGCTGTTGGGATCAGCCCGTGTCCGCCTCAGGGCTGCTCTTAACGTTCTGTTGTCTCCCCAGACCAGAGTCATCCTTCTGAACTGGTGCGCGTGGTTCCTGCGAATGAAGAGGCCCGGGGAGGACAAGGTGCGCCCGGCCTGCCAGCACAAGCAGCGGCGCTGCAGCCTGGCCAGTGTGGAGATGAGCGCCGTGGCGCCGCCGCCCGCCAGCAACGGGAACCTGCTGTACATCGGCTTCCGCGGCCTGGACGGCGTGCACTGTGTCCCGACCCCCGACTCTGGGGTAGTGTGTGGCCGCATGGCCTGCTCCCCCACGCACGATGAGCACCTCCTGCACGGCGGGCAACCCCCCGAGGGGGACCCGGACTTGGCCAAGATCCTGGAGGAGGTCCGCTACATTGCCAACCGCTTCCGCTGCCAGGACGAAAGCGAGGCGGTCTGCAGCGAGTGGAAGTTCGCCGCCTGTGTGGTGGACCGCCTGTGCCTCATGGCCTTCTCGGTCTTCACCATCATCTGCACCATCGGCATCCTGATGTCGGCTCCCAACTTCGTGGAGGCCGTGTCCAAAGACTTTGCGTAACCACGCCTGGTTCTGTACATGTGGAAAACTCACAGATGGGCAAGGCCTTTGGCTTGGCGAGATTTGGGGGTGCTAATCCAGGACAGCATTACACGCCACAACTCCAGTGTTCCCTTCTGGCTGTCAGTCGTGTTGCTTACGGTTTCTTTGTTACTTTAGGTAGTAGAATCTCAGCACTTTGTTTCATATTCTCAGATGGGCTGATAGATATCCTTGGCACATCCGTACCATCGGTCAGCAGGGCCACTGAGTAGTCATTTTGCCCATTAGCCCACTGCCTGGAAAGCCCTTCGGAGAGCTCCCCATGGCTCCTCACCACCGAGACAGTTGGTTTTGCATGTCTGCATGAAGGTCTACCTGAAAATTCAACATTTGCTTTTTGCTTGTGTACAAACCCAGATTGAAGCTAAAATAAACCAGACTCACTAAATCCTTTCCAATAATTGACTGGTGGAAGGAAAACAAAAAACAAAAACTAAAAACCTCTTAGCTTTTCTGCAATTCAACTTTTTATTTTTATTTTTATTTCTATCAAAGACGGTAGAGAGAAACAGCTTGATGCTGTTTCTACATTAAAAAAAAAAAAAAAGACAGACTGTTGGTCTTACTAAGGATGTTTTTACCAGCCTGCCTGACTTCTGCAAACCTACCCTGTCAAGGAGATCAAAGGGACGCAGGTTTCTGTTTATTCTGAACAAGGGCCAGGCCCCGCGGAGTGTCTTTGGTGGATCCCAGATAACTCCTAGGTGCTGCTCTCAGACACTGAGGAGTTGAGCAAATCTGTTCTATTCTGCAGAACCCACAGGACAAATAAGAGTTCTACTAGAATTAACAGCCCAAAAGAATAGCTACAGCTAAGTGAAGCCACTTACGTGGGCTTTAAAAAAATAATGTGTTAGCTGATTCACATGCACTGGAGTTAATTAGTCTTAGAAATGTGTGCATCCATACAAATGCACAACATAAAGTGAACATATTCCTAGGCCCTTTCTGCCTGTGTCAGGGCCAGGAAGTAGAGGCTGGGAACTCTTCTGGTCCCCAGTATGGCAGGCGCCAGGGAGGGGATGGTGTGGCCCATCCCTTCTCTGGATACCTGGCCAGTGGCAGGCAGCAGGGAGGAGCTGGCCGACCCTCAGTGACTGACAAGCCAGCAATTCTGAGTTCTGGCCTTTGGGAGTCTGCCTGCTCCAAGCCAGTCCACCCCAGCTGCAGCCCCAAAAGCTGGCTCAAAGTCCTTGGGTGGATTCACTGGAGATGGGCAACTTAAAACAAGAGAAACTTTAATTTTTAAACCTAAGTGATGATACAGCTCTTCCCTTAGATTATCGCCCAGGCTGGAGTGCAGTGGCATGATCTCAGCTCACTGCAAGCTCCACCTCCTGGGTTCATGCCATTCTCCTGCCTCAGCCTCCCCCCGAGTAACTGGGAATACAGGCGCCCGCCACCATGCCTGGCTAATTTTTTGTATTTTTAGTAGAGATAGGGTTTCATCATGTTAGCCAGGATGGTCTCATTCTTATTCTTTAATGAGATCAGAGGGTAATTCACCAAGAAAGACCTCTCCTGTTCCATTGTGTCATCCAACAACTGCTCAGAGCTCAAAATTATAGAAGGCTTCTGAGCCCCTAGAGATTTTTAATTTGCTTCTAATCCCTGAGGTGGGAACATCATGAGGGAAGATTTGATTTTCAGAGTTAAATAAATTGTATGTGCTTTTCCAGCCATCTGGCTCACTCATTTCTGGGTAATGCACATGACTTTGTTTGCACTGGAGGAAGATGGAAGCTTGCGTGTGTGCGGTGTGTGTGTGTGTGTAAGTGTGAGGTACCTTGTGTGTGACAAGAGACCTCACTTACGAGAAAGTTGGTGGATCAGGACATTCCAGCCTCAGGCGGCTTGGAGCAGGATCATTCCTCAGCAGGCATTCCTTCCACATGCTATGGATGAACCATGCACAAGATTTTCGGTTTTTTTTTTTTTTTCTGTTACAGTGTCTTTAGAAACAAGTAGAAGTGTTTTGATATATAAAAGGAATGCTTCATTTCTTATCATTATCCCAAAATTGATCCCTCCCACATTTTTGCTTTAAAAAGAAACCTTTTTGGTTTTGTATTTTATACAGGAACACAAAATGCAAACAAGTTGTGCATATTTTGGACTCTCAAATAACTTCTCTGTCCTTTAATAAAGTAATAATAAGGAATAGATGTGCACATAGTTAGAAAAGTATGAGTGGTTAAAAACAACAGTCTCCCATACTGCCTGTTTTCTCTCTCAGAGGGGACCACTAATGAGCTTCTAAGGGCATTTCTAGAAAGGAAGAAAAGAAGATAAGAGGCCAAAGAAGGAGGGACGGGGGTTATGGAGAGAGACCTTCCCTTTCCAGCACTAACGCTCTGTGAAGGGCGCTGCACCTTGCATTCTTCATGTGGTGTTTTGTCTTAGAGGTCGTCCCATAATAACATATAAAGATCTACCTCATTCCTCCTAGTAGCTGCTTAGCATTCCATTATCTCAGCGGACTATCATTTATTTGAATAGCCTTTTATTGGTGAACATATGGATACTTCCAGTTTTTATTTTTATATACAAATCTATAATTGGCATACTTGTACATACATCTTGACATAGTTTTGTGACTAAAACGGTATAAATTCCAACTTAGAAATGGAATTGCTGGGTTTAAGGCTACATGTATTTAAAATTTTGATAGCTATTGCCAGATTATCTTCTAGAAACTGATCGAAGGATGTAACTCCATCAAGAGTACAATAAAAGGCCCAATTTCTCAGCTTTCTATAATAGCACTGGGTATTTTCAAACTTAATGTTTTTCCCAATATAATTGGTGAAACATGATATTTACGAATATTATTCTGATTTTGGTTTATTTTGTGTATAAAATGGGACATCTTTTAAAATTTTTTTGTAGTTTTAATTTTGATACATTTATATATTTTACCCAGTTCCTAATTGGGTTATTTGGCTTTTTCTTAATTTGCTCATGCACTTTGGGACATTTTTGTCTTATGTCTTTAAAATATTTTTATCATTTGTCTTTCGATGTTATTTATTGATTTCCTTATTTATTGGCATAGAGTTTAAATTTTTATGTTGTCAATTTGTGAGTATTTTTCTTTGTCGATCGTGGGATTTGTTTCCAGTTTTTAAAAGCCTTCCTCATTCTGAGATTATAAATAGACTTACTCGCATTTTCTTCTGAAACTTTATGGTTTTATTGGTTTACCTTCACATCTTCAGACTCCCTGGAATTCATTTGTTGCAGGACATGAGGGAAAAATCCATACTTTTTCCTCGAAATGGTGGTCAGCAGTATCAATAAATATGTAATAATGCATTTCTAAAATACAGTCATAGTGTTTTCCCCAGTTGTTCAAAATGCAGCCTTATTTGTAAACTAAATTTCTTTAAGTGTTTGGTTCTGTTTCTGTTCTATTTATCTCTATGAATGCCTTTCATTTCTAAAGCATTATTCATACTAATATCAGTATTTTCAAGTCAACACTCCCATCAACTCTGAATCTCTCTCTCATATGAATCTTTTTTCAATTAGAGTCACAATGAATTTACAGATTGAGTCTTCCTATTCAAAAGCATGAAATCTTGTGTTTAAGTCTAATTTTATGTAACTTAGTAGTGTTTTATGATTTTGTTCACTAAGGTGCTTTGAATTTATAGTTTATTTCTAGATGTTTTATCATTTGGCTATCATTTTCAATAGAATGATTTATTCCACTTTATTTTCTATTTTATCCCATTGTATAAGAAAGTAGTTGGTTTTTATGTATGAATGTTATAATCAACCACAAATTGTGATTCCTACTTGTTTCTAAGGTATACTTTTGACTTCTCCTTTCCAATGTGTCTCTTATTTCTTTCTTGTATCTAGTTGATTTGAGATCAGTGTTGAGTCACAGTGATTCAGGTGGCATGCTTATCTTGTTCGTGACATCAGTGGGACGTTTTAATGTCTCAGCGTTTAACTTGTATGAAGACATGTATTTTCCTTGCCATAATAAAAAAGTATCTGTGTGTTCTCAAACTATTAAGACTCTCTGGGGAAAATGTAGATGTTAGATTTTTGTCAAAGCCTTCTCAGTGTCCAGAGGGATTATCAGAAGGTCTTTTCCTTTGCTCTAGTAGTATGTTTAATTATATTAATAGAATACTTAAGACCAAATCATTAGTGTATTCCTGAGATGTTCTTTACTTATTAGTATCATGACTTTGGTTATCAATATTTATAATTAAGATTCATCATTCTACATCTTGCTTTTATGTGTTTTTTGTCCAGATTTAACTTTATGCTGACTTAAAGGAAGAAATATTATAAAACAAAAACCTCTATATTCTACAATCATCTATTGGTTTTGGATTATTTTCTGCTTAAGTGTAGAAGAACTAGCTGGGGCTGTCTGGGCCTGCCGTGGTATATTTCTGGATTTTGCTCATCAGGCAAGTTAGGTCCTCGAGCCCTTCTAGAGTCCATTTTAATGACATTTTTAAAAATAAAATTAATTCCATCCACTTTTCAACATAGTTGCGTAGTTTTGTAATATATGCACTTCAGGTGTTTTCTTTCCTCTGTATTTGTGGCTTTTTCTCCTTTTTCCGTTTGTAATTGTGTGCATTTCTCCTTTCTCCCGTGCCTATTGATTTAGCTTGCCATGAGTTTTACCGGTTTATATTTTTAAGACATCGGACCCTTAGACTTTGCAGTCCGAGGACCTGTCTGCAGGGTCTTGGGGGTCCCTGCGTTGACCCAGCCCTCCCAGGTGACAGCAGTGGGCCAGCACAGCAGAAGCCACAGTTGTTGCAGGTGCTTCTCCAGCCAGTGCTGGGCCCAACACACGGTTCAGCCCTTCCTCTGGGCCCTGGGAGCCTGTGGGACAAACTAGTCGGGGCAGCATGGTGGGTTAGATGTAGCTGGTCATTGCACTCACGGGGACCCCAGTGAGTTGGAGAAAAGACTGACAGAAGCTTTAAGCAGAGCCCCCTGGAGGTGTACGCCTCAGGAAGGAACTCTTACATAATTTAACTTTTTCTCATTCCTTCATTTTTTATGTGGTACAAACCCTTCCCAACCTCCCTAGACCTTCCGTCTATCAGTGTTTCTGACCTCACCATGGATAGCTCCTTTTGTAATTACTGTTTACTTCATATGCGTTTGACCTTCTAATGCCATAGCTTGTCCTGAGTTGGGGAAGGGGTCTCAAAGTTATGGCCCCTGGGGATGCGGCCCACAGATTCTATCTTTCTCAAACTCTTTGTGACGAGACGCCCCCTGTGTTTGCACACAGCCCGCTTCGGGAATGCCACCTTTCTGCAGCGCTGCAGTTCCACACTCTTTCTTGTCTTCTCTCCACCGTCACGTGTAACATTTTGCACTGCTTTCTAAATTTCCTTTTTTTCTGCCAATGGCCTTCCTACCATTTCCTCTGCTGCTGTGTTAGAGTTCTGTGTGTTCACCTTTGATAAATACTTCCCATCAACAAATTCTGCAGGTATGTTTTCTAATTTTTAGTTTTCTGCTTTTATCTTTAATATTTTCATTCTATTTTACTTTTTAAAAATTATTGTATATTTTTAAATTTTCGTAAAATATACATAACATAAAATTTATCATTTTAACCAGTTTTAAGTGTACCATTCAGTGTCATTAAATACAGTCACATTGTTGTACAGTCTTCACAACCACATATTCCCAGAACTCTTTTCATCTTCCCAAATTGAAACCCTGTCTCTATCAAACATCAACCACTCTTGTTTTGGTCCTTTTTTTTTTTTTTTCTTTTTTTGAGACAGAGTCTCATTTTATCACCCAGGCTAGAGTGCAGTGGTGCAATCTCTGCTCACTGCAACCTCTGCCTCCTGGGTTCAAGCGATTCTCATGCCTCGGCCTCCAGAGTTGCTGGGATTACCAGAGCACACCACCAATCCCAGCTAATTTTTTATATTTTTAGTAGAGATGGGGTTTCACCATGTTGGCCAGGCTGGTCTCGAACTCCTGGCCTCAAGTGATCTGCCTGCCTCCTCCTCCCAAAGTGCTGGAATTACAGGCGTGAGCCACCACACCTGGCCTCCTTTTGGTCTTTATAAATTTGGCTAGGTACCTGATACAAGTGGATTCATATAGTATTTGTCCTTTTGTGACTGACTTATTTCACATTACATGAAATAAGATATCCTCAGGATTCAGCCATGATCCTTTTACTTTTTTTTTTTTTTTTTTTTTTTGAGAGGAAGTCTCGCACTGTCGCCCAGGCTGGAGTGCAATGGCGTCATCTTGGCTCACTGCAACCTCCACCTCCCGAGTTCAAGCAATTCTCCTGCCTTAGCCTCCTGAGTAGCTGGGATTACAGGCACCCACTACCACTCCCGGTTAATTTTTTTTTTTTTTTTTTTTTTTTTGTATTTTTAGTAGAGGTTGCACCATGTTGGCCAGGCTGGTCTCAAACTCCTGACCTCAGTTGATCTACCCGCCTCAGCCTCCCAAAGTGCTGGGACTACCAGCGTGAGCCACCGCGCCCAGCCAGTTCTCTTCTACTTTTATTTTGTTGTTGTTGTTCTAAGTTATTCAATAGATGCCTAATTCATGTGTTTCCAATTATTCTTAATCAGATAAGTATTTTTGGCTCTGCATTTTATTCTGATCAAAGCTTTAACAGCAGTCCATACGTCTTAATATGCAATGTTTTCATTTGTATTTTCTGGATATTCTATAAGTTGAATTGTTGTACCTTCTTCAAGCTGACTTTTTAAATAAAGGCTAGTGAAGTGAAGCAGCAGTGGAAATGGAAAAGGAGCAAAGAAACCTGTAACTGCTTGTAATCAATTCCTTGTACACCCCACTGCACTCAGACCAGCCCGAACTGAGCTTTGTTGAGTGTTTTAAAATTTCCACATTTTTTAACTTAAAAATTAATTTCTAGTTACATTACCTTATGCTTTAAGCAAAATGCCTTTTGTTCTATTTCTAATATTTATAATGTGCTGAGGTGTTTCTGAGGGGTTTGTATGATCAGTGCCTGTGAATGGGTCCCTCTCTGAGAATGACCTGGGCGGGTGTGTGGGAGTTCCACCCCTGGCTTTGCTCACTGGCCTGGCTGGGGCCACGCTCCCTGTCAGCAGCATTCCTCTTTCAATCATCCTTCCATTTACCACAGGATGTTTAACGATTTACCGGATTTTCATTCTATTTTCAATACTTAACCTTGAATTCACATTTGTCTGCTTTTAAAATCAGCCCCACTGATTTCTTATGCTGAGATGCCTCTCTCGTTCATTCTTACACTCACACAACACCTCCCGTCTCCACATGTGTGGGGAAAAATCCCACCCATTCTCCAGCACCAGCTGGGTGTCCTACCGTTCAGCTCAACTCTGACACTAACTGGAGTTAGAGCCAGCCCCACAGGGGAGGGGCTCAATTCCCAGGACTGCCCTGCTCCAGATGCCAGTTGTAAGTGGTGGGTCTGCAGGTCACCCACAGCTTCTGTCCAACTTGGCTATAAATCGGAGGTTCCCACGCCCCCCTTCTTAGGTCCAGTCATTTGGTGGAACAGCGCAGAGAACCCAGGGCAACACTACTATGTTTATCCACTTATTATAAAGAATACAGCCAAATGGGAGAGAAATACAGGAAAAGATATGGTGGGGGTGGGTATGGAGCTGCCATGGCCTCTCCAGGAGCACCACCACGTGTTCCCCAACCCTGAAGCTCCCGCACCTGTACTTAGGAATTTTTAAGGAGGCTTCATCATGTAGGCATGATTGATTATTGATTCAATCTCCAACTCCTCTTTCCTCCCTAGAGGATGGGGTGTGGGGCTGAAAGTTCCAAGCTTCTAACCATGGCTTGGTCTTTCTGGTGACCAGCCCTCATCTAGGATTCCACCAAGAGTCGTTCATTAGAACAAAAGATGCTCCTATCACCCAGGAAATTCCAAGGGATTGGAAGCTCTGTACCAGGAACCCAGTCAAAGATGCTCCCAACCAATATTAGAACAAAAGATGCTCCCAGTACCCCCATCACTCAGGAAATTACAAGGGTATTAGGAGCTCTGTGTCAGAAACTGGAGACACAGACCAATATGTATTTCTTATTATTTTATACTCAATTTTATGTTTAACCTTTTTGAGGCACTTTGTTTTAGGTTTATTTATCTTGGATCTGCACTTATATTTTTAATACATATTGCTGATATATTTGGTTTAATATTTTTTTCAATATCTGTAATTAATATTTCTTTTGCATTCCCTTTTGGATTTTTTTATTTCCCCCTCCTTCTGATTATGTGCAATCCTTTTGTTAAAATGAAAGATTTATTGCTTTTATGTGTTTAAGTGGTTACCTATATAATTTTACATAATTCAACCTATAGTTCATGATTTATCAACCTGACAGTTTCTATTAATTCTCCACTTCTCACTTCAAACCCCAATATATTATTAGTTATCTTTTTGTTTTTAGGTTTTCTGCAGGTTCCTTATACAACACTCTGTGATATGCTTTAATATTTATCAATTCAGAAGAGTATCTGTTGACTACTATTGAGAGAAAATTGAAAGATGTTTAATAGGATGGGCAATTCATTCATTTTGTGGTAATCTTCCCTTTTACCTAATTTTCATAGTGCAATTATCTTTGTTATTTTTACAAATTCATGAGTTATAACATTTACTTTCTGAAATTAATTTCCTACCATCACATACATGGTATATTTATTTATGCAAAATGAATTTTCCTTCTTTTTCCTCATTTTGGCTTGAATATGCAATGATGTGTTTTATTCCTCTTATTCCCTTTGGAGATCTGAAATTCTTCCTCTATGATGGTAGCTTTGTTATTTTTGGCATTGTCTATTCTGTTTCCTGCTATTTACAGTTCGGGTAGGTTTTTTTTTTTTTCTTCCCGTTCTGAAATGAGTTTTTGCTCTTCAATTTGTTTCCAAAACTCTGCAATTTACCTTTCATTTTGCTTTTCTATCTTTTAGCTCTTTTTTATTGAAATCGATTTCTTACTAACTTCTTACACAACATTTTGGAGAACTTTCTTGCATGGATTCAGTTATATATTTTGCTGCAGAATGAAATCTTTGTCTTTCTTTACAGACCATGGTCCACCCTGTGTTCACTGTTCCCCTGCAGTGCATTTGCAGGAATGCCTTGCCATTTATTTCACTCTTACTTTTGCTTAATTTGGGCAGCTCCACGTGGATCTTTAAATTCCTCTGAAAAAGCAGGTCTCAGCCCCTTTCAGACTCTGTGCTCCCCCTTCTTCCTGCTTTCCTGGCCTGGGGTTCTGAGAGGAAGGCCAGCCCCTAGGATGGACAGCCTGGGCGTTTTTGTCTTTACTTTGTTGCTGTTGATGTTGGTCTGTTGGTGCTCCAATACATCTTAGGCATTACCCTGGAAGGAGATCTATATCATTATTTATTGCTCTAATTCATGAAATTCTGGGTCTTTGGGGTGAGTGAACTCTTATTCAGCTTTCTCAGTTAGCCGCGTACTCCCGGTGAAATTTCCCAACCTCTCTCCTTACACCCTTCAACCTCCAGTCAGGACAGATAAAATGTCCATGGATTTGGCTGTTAGGGCTGGTAGTTGGAGGGCTGGTGGGAGCAGGAATTTGGTTATAGTCACATCCCCTTTCCTTCCTGCCCATAGGGAAGACACCTGAAGACCTCCTGCCTGTGACTTTCCTGCATCTGCTGAGATCCTTGGTGGGAGGCGGGACTTCTGCACTCATGGGCTCTCTTAAAACTTTTTCCCTCCAACTTACAACTTCCCTTCTCAATGAGCCTCACTCGAGACTGGCAGCGTAGGGTGGGGAGAGGGATCCGCTATTTGGGTTGGAGGGACACGCGGGGTGGGTCGCACTGATTCAGAGTCTGTCCTTTGCAGGCCCACACCACCTTCTTCTCTGTGTCCTCCTGGCTGCAGCGCTTTGAAGAGTGTGGCAGGAGGCTCCATCATTCTGTGTTGCTGCTGCTGTTTGCTATTGTTGCTTTTTTGGGCAGCGATATCTCTGATCCTGCCTTCCTCCACTCGCAACGCGTTGATAGTCACTGACCACATATTCAGGGCAATGGGTAACAATGGAGAGAGAGTGTGTTATGTCTCAGCACCAAGGCTGCTGGTAAATTATATTCCCAGTAATTTTAGAAGATTGTGGCAGATGCTTTTCACTTCATGTTGAAGCTATTCATCTTTACATTGAAGGACCTTATGAAGCTACAGAGTTTAATCTTTTTCCAACTATATTTGCCCCCTTTTCTTTCTGTGGTAAATGAAAACGGCCAAGAATTCGCCATTTAGTATCTTTGTATTAATATGAATAGTGTAATTGTTTTTCAAACACATTATTTTAAGCTGTCATTTAAGATAAAGATAGTCTTGGTGAAATCAATATGTCAGGGTTAAAGTGAGTATGTTTTTCTCCTACACATTTTGGTAATTACCATACAGTCACCCCCATCTGTGGCGTTACTTTCTTTTCTTTTTTTTTAGACAGAGTCTTGCTCCGTCACCCAGGCTGGAGTGCAGTGGCGCGATCTCGGCTCACTGCAAGCTCTGCCTCCCAAGTTCACGCCATTCTCCTGCCTCAGCCTCCCAAGTAGCTGGGACTACAGGCGCCTGCTACCACGCCCAGCTAATTTTTATATTTTTAGTAGAGCTGGGGTTTCACCATGTTGGCCAGGCTGGTCTCGAACTCCTGACCTCAGATGATCTGCCCAGCTCAGCCTCCCAAAGTGCTGGGATTACAGGCGTGAGCCACCACACATGTCCTGTGGTGTTTCTTTCTGTGGCTTCAGTTATCTGTGGTCAACCACAGTCAGAAAATAGGCGAAGACAATAAGATGTTTTGTGACAGAGACCACATTCACATAACTTTCATTACAGCATATGGTTATGATTGTCCTATTTTATTGCTAGTAAGTGCTGTTAGTTTCTTACTGTGCCTAATTTATACATTAAATTTTATCATAGGTATGTATATATCAGAGAAAAAACATATGTAGGGTTCACTACTACCCAAGGTTTCAAGCATCTACTGTGGGTCTTGGAACATATCCCTGTGGATAAGAAGGCACTACATTACAATATAGACTTCTGTTGTACTTTTCAAACATCATAATGCTCAAGAAATTACCATCCACTTGGAATTAGAATTTGCTGCAGTCCCAGCCATACTTCAGCATGCCCCCTGTGCCCTGGTCAACCTTGTTGGTTCTCTGGCTCCCGTGTGACCATATTAAACCCCCGCCAGCATCCTCATTGCCAAGCCCCAGGTGGTGTCTGGAGAGGGACGTGGGCTTAGTCACTTAAAAACACAGTGCCTCAAATCCTTTGTGGAAAAGACAAGTTCATGCTATTCAATTAGATTCAGAATTTCCAAATATACAGAAGCTCAGAGCTCGTCTATGGCATCAGGTTCCAAGCTTTTTTTTTTTTAAAGGTTAGTTCAAGTACAAAAGATAAGAGTATTTGTTCCAGAGACAGGTCTGGGGGACTTTGGTGTCTGGCCTTAAAGAGAAATTGTGAAGGAGTCATTTTGAAAATGGTGTTGGTGTGTACTGGGGCCTCAGCCAAAGAGACTTGGGCTCAGGAGGCAGTGGGTCAGCCAGGCAGATGGGGGCTCATCCGCGTGTCTGTGACTGGGGGAGACAGGGACCCTGCCATCAGGAGGGAGCAGGAGTGGCAGCAGTGGGGGCCAGCAGTAGGTGTTTGTTCCAGGTTCCCTGAGCTCTCCTGAGATTCTTCCAGACTCCTGGAAATAACTGGGCAGAGGAGAGCCAAAGCCAACTGGCTGAGGTCAACCCACAGCTGCAATTCAGATTCACATGGATGTGATCCCATTGAACTGCAGGCTGAGATTCAGTCCATTCACCTGAGACATGTGAGACCCCGTTGTGGTCTGAATTAAGATTCTTCAAATTTATATGTTGAAGCCCAACCACCGTACCTCAGACTGTGATCTTATTTGGAGAGGGCCTTTAAAGAGGTAATTGAGTTAAAATCAGGCCATGAGGGTGAACCTTAATCCATTCTGACTGGTGTCCTTATAAGAAGATGAGGTTAGGATACAGACACAGTCAGAGGGGTGATCGTCTGAGGCACAGGGAAGACAGCCATCTACAAGCCGAAGAGAGAGGCTGCAGGAGAAGCCAGCCTTGCCCACCTTGATCTTGGACTTCCAGCCTCCAGCACTGTGAGGAAATGCACGTCTGTGTTTAAGCCCCCAGGCTGTGGTTCTTTGTTGTGGCAGCCCCAGCCTCCAAGGCAGGCATCTGTCAGGTGCTGTCCCCTCTGCCAGACACAGGGGGTGCAGTCATGAGAAAGCTTATCTTAGCTGGAAGGAGCTCGTTCTTAGGAAGGGAATTAGGTAAAAAGAGAGTAAGGGCCACACAGGGAGGGATCCCAGCCTTAGACAATCATGGGAGACTTCCTAGAGTTGGTGGCGCCTCAGGTAAAATCAGATGAGGGGATTGAGGCCCACCCCAGCGACTTGCCCAGCCTCACACAAATAGCTGTTTGAACTGAGACTAGGAACTCAACATCCTGAGGCTGCTTTCGTTAACCTCAAACTTACTTTGTCCATTCTTCTTTGTAAATGGCAGGGAATGGAGAATGGCACCCTGTGTTTTGGTGTCTGCAGTGGAAGGGGGTGTAGACCCCTCTGGCTGGCTTGATTCAAAGTATCGGTTCCGTCACTGGTATGTGCTGTCCTCTGTTGCTATGAAAATTTATGGCTAAAACCATCTTGCTTTGAAAGGTTAACTTTTTTTTTTTTTGAATTGGAGTTTGGCTCTTGTTGTCCAGGCTGGAGTGCAATGGCGCGATCTCGGCTCACTGCAGCCTCTGCCTCCTGGGTTCCAGCGATTCTCCTGCCTCAGCCTCCAAAGCAGCTGGGATTATAGGCATGAGCCACCACACCCAACAACTCTTTAATACCATGATTCCTGGGACACTAGTGGTCCCTAAAACTGCTTTTACTTGGGGCATGGGCAGGGCATGGGCTGAGAAGGAACATCCCCCGGGCCTTGCAGTCACAGTTTCCCATGGGATGTTTTAGCGCGGTTAAGCGCTGTTTAGCGTGTTAAGGCACTGCAGCAAGAATAAGCATGCTGGGTCCTGATTCTGAAAACCTCTCTTTAAGGCACTCAGGCCTTGCGGTTCTGTTTTCTCTACACTCTCTGTGGTGCCTCTAGTACCGTGATTAAAAACAGTGGCCCCACAAACACGACCTCACCTTCAAATCCAACTCTGCCCCCTGCCGACTGACCTCCAGCACACTGCTCACGTTATCCAAACTCGGGTGTCCCCACGTTAAAGGAGTGACTATAGTACTACCTGCCAAGACACTGTCGCAAGGACAGCCCAGAACACAAGACGCACTCGAAAATGTCAGCTAAGTTTATTTTCCGCAGGATCAAACCTCACTCCTCCCACATAGGAGATGCCATCTTCTTGTTTTAAAGGCTTTATGACAAACAGGCATTCCTTTGAAGTTTAACAAATTCCTCCTGCCACCATGACAATGACGTCTAGCAACACATTCTCTGGTGAGAAAAAGGAAAGTTTAGAAAGACATTGTCAGTTGTCTCTTCCTAAGTGATATTTACCAGGACCCAAATACCAAAAAGCACAGCTCAGAAACACAGGGGCTAGGCCGGGCACAGTGGCTCACGCCTGTAATCCCATCACTTTGGGAGGCTGAGGCGGGCAGATCACCTGAGGTCAGGAGTCCGAGACCAGCCTGGACAACACAGAAAAACCCCATCTCTACTAAAAATACAAAAATTAGCCAGGCATTGTGGTGCATCCCTGTAATCCCAGCTACTTGGGAGGCTGAGGCAGGAGAATCACTTGAACCCAAGAGGCGGAGGTTGCTGTGAGCCAAGATTGTGCCATTGCACTCCAGCCTGGGCAACAGAGCGAGACCATGTCTCAAAAAATAAATAAATAAATACAGGGGCTTTGGCAGTGGGTCCAGGAGGCATCTGGTGAGGTCATTAGGGAGGGGTCATTACACATGGAAAGCAGCAGAGACCGTTTACTGAGTACATATTTGTTGAATGCTTTTAGGACATGAGATGAGAAGGGGGAGAAATACTCACGATGTGGAGCTGGAGGTGCGTGGGCAGCCGGTGAACAGTAATGGAACATTGACACAAGCCAGGTGGGACGAGTGTGGTGGGATGGCCTGCGAGAGGGGAGCAGAGGGGACAGGGCTGGGCAAGTACCCAGAGGCAGCCGCCTGGTGCACCTTGAGAGGTATGCATGAGAGGAACACCAGAGAGGGCCAGGGTGGGCAGGGTGGCGGTGGGCAGGAGGAGTGAGGGTGGGAGAAGGCACTGTCTGGGATGGGAGATGGGGGTCTTCGGGATTCCCTAGTGCTTTCCCTAAGAGCAGTAGGGGCGACTGAAGGCTCTGGGCCAGAGAGTGGTATAATTCAGTTGTTTTTAGATTCTGGAAAAAGAATTGGGAGCTACAGCATATTCTTTCCACTTCTGCCCTAAACTTTGTTGAGTCCCATATGCTGGGAGGCTGACCAGGTGTGGCAGTGGGAGCTGGATCTCCCTCCAGTCTTAAGGTGAGATGTAGGATGTGATTTATAGGTCAGATATGAGATGGAAAATGGCAGCCGACAGGACGTGGCTGATGAGGGAATAACCTGCTCAAAGCCTGGGACAGAAGGACTAGGAGGAAGAAATGTTGAAAGAGGGTTTCAAGGCATTTTCCAGGAGAGTATGATCTAAAGCATCTTCTCTATCTCCCCAGGTGAATGTTTGCTAGCGCTGCAGAGCCCCTCAGTCACTCAATCGGTGCAGACGGGTGGCAGAAACCACTGGAGTCATGTGAATGGGGACACTTTCCTATGAACAGTGGTTACACAGGCAAAGGCACCCGCCCCTAAAAGAAGTCAAAGACTTTTTGTCTGGAACCAAGATGGCCGAATAGGAACAGCTCCGGTCTACAGCTCCCAGCGTGAGCGACGCAGAAGACAGGTGATTTCTGCATTTCCATCTGAGGTACCGGGTTCATCTCACTAGGGAGTGCCAGACAGTGGGCGCAGGACAGTGGGTGCAGTGCGCCGTGCGCGAGCCGAAGCAGGGCGAGGCATTGCCTCACTCAGGAAGCACAAGGGGTCAAGGAGTTCCCTTTCCTAGTCAAAGAAAGGGGTGACAGACAGCACCTGGAATATCGGGTCACTCCCACCCAAATACTGCGCTTTTCCGACGGGCTTAAAAAACGGCGCACCAGGAGATTATATCCTGCACCTGGCTTGGAGGGTCCTACGCCCACAGAGTCTCGCTGATTGCTAGCACAGCAGTCTGAGATCAAACTGCAAGGCGGCAGTGAGGCTAGGGGAGGGGCGCCCGCCATTGCCCAGGCTCGCTTAGGTAAACAAAGCAGCCAGGAAGCTCCAATTGGGTGGAGCCCACCACAGCTCAAGGAGGCCTGCCTGCCTGCCTCTGTAGGCTACACCTCTGGGGGCAGGGCACAGACAAACAAAAAGACAGCAGTAACCTCTGCAGACTTAAATGTCCCTGTCTGACAGCTTTGAGGACAGCAGTGGTTCTCCCAGCACACAGCTGGAGATCTGAGAACGGGCAGACTGCCTCCTCAAGTGGGTCCCTGACCCCTGACCCCCGAGCAGCCTAACTGGGAGGCACCCCCCAGCAGGGGCAGACTGACACCTCACACGGCCGGGTACTCCTCTGAGACAAAACTTCCAGAGGAACGATCAGACAGCAGCATTCGCGGTTCACGAAAACCACTGTTCTGCAGACACCGCTGCTGATACCCAGGCAAACAGGGTCTGGAGTGGACCTCTAGCAAACTCCAACAGACCTGCAGCTGAGGGTCCTGTCTGTTAGAAGGAAAGCTAACAAACAGAAAGGACATCCACACCAAAACCCATCTGTACATCACCATCATCAAAGACCAAAAGTAGATAAAACCACAAAGATGGGGAAAAAACAGAGCAGAAAAACGGGAAACTCTAAAAAGCAGAGCACCTCTCCTCCTCCAAAGGATCGCAGTTCCTCACCAGCAATGGAACAAAGCTGGACAGAGAATGACTTTGACGAGTTGAGAGAAGAAAGCTTCAGACGATCAAACTACGAGCTACAGGAGGAAATTCAAACCGAAGGCAAAGAAGTTAAAAACTTTGAAAAAAATTTAGACGAATGTATAACTAGAATAACCAATACAGACAAGTGCTTAAAGGAGCAGATGGAGCTGAAAGCCAAGACTCGAGAATTACGTGAAGAATGCAGAAGCCTCAGGAGCCGATGCAATCAACTGGAAGAAAGGGTATCAGCGATGGAAGATGAAATGAATGAAATGAAGCGAGAAGGGAAGTTTAGAGAAAAAAGAATAAAAAGAAATGAACAAAGCCTCCAAGAAATATGGGACTATGTGAAAAGACCAAATCTACGTCTGATTGGTGTACCTGAAAGTGACGGGGAGAATGGAACCAAGTTGGAAAACACTCTGCAGGATATTATCCAGGAGAACTTCCCCAATCTAGCAAGGCAGGCCAACGTTCAGATTCAGGAAATACAGAGAACACCACAAAGATACTCCTCGAGAAGAGCACCTCCAAGACACATAATTGTCAGATTCACCAAAGTTGAAATGAAGGAAAAAATGTTAAGGGCAGCCAGAGAGAAAGGTCGGGTTACCCACAAAGCGAAGCCCATCAGACTAACAGCGGATCTCTCGGCAGAAACTGCAAGCCAGAAGAGAGTGCGGGCCAATATTCAACATTCTCAAAGAAAAGAATTTTCAACCCAGAATTTCATATCCAGCCAAACTAAGCTTCATAAGTGAAGGAGAAATAAAATACTTTACAGACAAGCAAATGCTGAGAGATTTTGTCACCACCAGGCCTGCCCTAAAAGAGCTCCTGAAGGAAGCACTAAACATGGAAAGGAACAACTGGTACCAGCCGCTGCAAAATCATGCCAAAATGTAAAGACCATCCAGACTAGGAAGAAACTGCATCAACTAACGAGCAAAATAACCAGCTAACATCATAATGAGAGGATCAAATTCACACATAACAATATTAACTTTAAATGTAAATGGACTAAATGCTCCAATTAAAAGACACAGACTGGCAAATTGGATAAAGAGTCAAGATCCATCAGTGTGTTGTATTCAGGAAACCCACCTCACATGCAGAGACACACATAGGCTCAAAATAAAAGGATGGAGGAAGATCTACCAAGCAAGTGGAAAACAAAAAAAGGCAGGGGTTGCAATCCTAGTCTCTGATAAAACAGACTTTAAACCAACAAAGATCAAAAGAGACAAAGAAGGCCATTACACAATGGTAAAGGGATCAATTCAACAAGAAGAGCTAACTATCCTAAATATATATGCACCCAATACAGGAGCACCCAGATTCATAAAGCAAGTCCTGAGTGACGTACAAAGAGACTTAGACTCCCACACATTAATAATGGGAGACTTTAACACCCCACTGTCAACATTAGACAGATCAACGAGACAGAAAGTCAACAAGGATACCCAGGAATTGAACTCAGCTCTCCACCAAGCAGACCTAATAGACATCTACAAAACTCTCCACCCCAAATCAACAGAATATACATTTTTTTCAGCACCACACCACACCTATTCCAAAATTGACCACATATTTGGAAGTAAAGCTCTCTTCAGCAAATGTAAAAGAACAGAAATTATAACAAACTGTCTCTCAGACCACAGTGCAATCAAACTAGAACTCAGGATTAAGAATCTCACTCAAAACCGCTCAACTACATGGAAACTGAACAACCTGCTCCTGAATGACTACTGGGTACATAACGAAATGAAGGCAGAAATAAAGATGTTCTTTGAAACCAACGAGAACAAAGACACAACATACCAGAATCTCTGGGATGCATTCAAAGCAGTATGTACAGGGAAATTTATAGCACTAAATGCCCACAAGAGAAAGCAGGAAAGATCCAAAATGGACACCCTAACATCACAATTAAAAGAACTAGATAAGCAAGAGCAAACACATTCAAAAGCTAGCAGAAGGCAAGAAATAACTAAAATCAGAGCAGAACTGAAGGAAATAGAGACACAAAAAACCCTTCAAAACATTAATGAATCCAGGAGCTGGTTTTTTGAAAGAATCAACAAAATTGATAGACCGCTAGCAAGACTAATAAAGAAAAAAAGAGAGAATCAAATAGACGCAATAAAAAATGATAAAGGGGATATCACCACCGATCCCACAGAAATACAAACTACCATCAGAGAATACTACAAGCACCTCTACGCAATTAAACTAGAAAATCTAGAAGAAATGGATAAATTCCTCGACACATACACTCTCCCAAGACTAAACCAGGAAGAAGTTGAATCTCTGAATAGACCAATAACAGGAGCTGAAATTGTGGCAATAATCAATAGCTTACCAACCAAAAAGAGTCCAGGACCAGATGGATTCACAGCCGAATTCTACCAGAGGTACAAGGATGAACTGATACCATTCCTTCTGAAACTATTCCAATCAATAGAAAAAGAGGGAATCCTCCCTAACTCATTTTATGAGGCCAGCATCATCCTGATACCAAAGCCGGGCAGAGACACAACCAAAAAAGAGAATTTTAGACCAATATCCCTGATGAACATCGATGCAAAAATCCTCAATAAAATACTGGCAAACGGAATCCAGCAGCACATCAAAAAGCTTATCCACCATGATCAAGTGGGCTTCATCCCTGGGATGCAAGGCTGGTTCAATATACACAAATCAATAAATGTAATCCAGCATATAAACAGAACCAAAGACAAAAACCACAAGATTATCTCAATAGATGCAGAAAAGGCCTTTGACAAAATTCAACAACCCTTCATGCTAAAAACTCTCAATAAATTAGGTATTGATGGGACATATCTCAAAATAATAAGAGCTATCTATGACAAACCCACAGCCAATATCATACTGAATGGGCAAAAACTGGAAGCATTCCCTTTGAAAACTGGCACAAGACAGGGATGCCCTCTCTCACCACTCCTATTCAACATAGTGTTGGAAGTTCTGGCCAGGGCAATTAGGCAGGAGAAGGAAATAAAGGGTATTCAATTAGGAAAAGAGGAAGTCAAATTGTCCCTGTTTGCAGACGACATGATTGTATATCTAGATAACCCCATTGTCTCAGCCAAAAATCTCCTTAAGCTGATAAGCAACTTCAACAAAGTCTCAGGATACAAAATCAATGTACAAAAATCACAAGCATTCTTATACACCAATAACAGACAAACAGAGAGCCAAATCATGAGTGAACTCCCATTCGCAATTGCTTCAAACAGAATAAAATACCTAGGAATCCACCTTACAAGGGACGTGAAGGACCTCTTCAAGGAGAACTACAAACCACTGCTCAATGAAATGAAAGAGGATACAAACAAATGGAAGAACATTCCATGCTCCTGGGTAGGAAGAATCAATATCGTGAAAATGGCCACACTGCCCAAGGTAATTTATAGATTCAATGCCATCCCCATCAAGCTACCAATGACTTTCTTCAGAGAATTGGAAAAAACTACTTTAAAGTTCATATGGAACCAAAAAAGAGCCTGCATCGCCAAGTCAATCCTAAGCCAAAAGAACAAAGCTGGAGGCATCACGCTACCTGACTTCAAACTATACTACAAGGCTACAGTAACCAAAACAGCATGGTACTGGTACCAAAACAGAGATATAGATCAATGGAACAGAACAGAGCCCTCAGAAATAACGCCGCATATCTACAACTATCTGATCTTTGACAAACCTGAGAAAAACAAGCAATGGGGAAAGGATTCCCTATTTAATAAATGGTGCTGGGAAAACTGGCTAGCTATATGTAGAAAGCTGAAACTAGATCCCTTCCTTACACCTTATACAAAAATCAATTCAAGATGCATTAAAGACTTAAACGTTAGACCTAAAACCATAAAAACCCTAGAAGAAAACCTAGGCATTACCATTCAGGACATAGGCACGGGCAAGGACTTCATGTCTAAAACACCAAAAGCAATGGCAACAAAAGCCAAAATAGACAAATGGGATCTAATTAAACTAAAGAGCTTCTGCACAGCAAAAGAAACTACCATCAGAGTGAACAGGCAACCCACAATATGGGAGAAAATTTTCGCAACCTACTCATCTGACAAAGGGCTAATATCCAGAATCTACAATGAACTCCAACAAATTTACAAGAAAAAAACAACCCCATCAAAAAGTGGGCAAAGGACATGAACAGACAGTCTCAAAAGAAGACATTTATGCAGCCAAAAAACACATGAAAAAATGCTCACCATCACTGGCCATCAGAGAAATGCAAATCAAAACCACAATGAGATACCATCTCACACCAGTTAGAATGGCAATCATTAAAAAGTCAGGAAACAACAGGTGCTGGAGAGGATGTGGAGAAATAGGAACACTTTTACACTGTTGGTGGGACTGTAAACCAGTTCAGCCATTGTGGAAGTCAGTGTGGTGATTCCTCAGAGATCTAGAACTAGAAATACCATTTGACCCAGCAATCCCATTACTGGGTATATACCCAAAGGACTATAAATCATGCTGCTATAAAGACACACGCACACATATGTTTATTGTGGCACTATTCACAATAGCAAAGACTTGGAACCAAGCCAAATGTCCAACAATGATAGACTGGATTAAGAAAATGTGGCACATATACACCATGGAATACTATGCAGCCATAAAAAATGATGAGTTCACGTCCTTTGTAGAGACATGGATGAAACTGGAAATCATCATTCTCAGTAAACTATCACAAGAACAAAAAACCAAACACTGCGTATTCTCACTCATAGGTGGGAATTGAACAATGAGAACACATGGACACAGGAAGGGGAACATCACACTCTGGGGACTGTTGTGGGGTGGGGGAAGGGGGGGAGGGATAGCATTGGGAGATATACCTAATGCTAGATGACGAGTTAGTGGGTGCAGCGCACCAGCATGTCACGTGTATACATATGTAACTAACCTGCACATTGTCACATGTACCCTAAAACTTAAAGTATAAAAAAAAAAAAAAAAAGAAGTCAAAGAGGGCTATCAGGTGTAACAGGCAACCATGTCAAGTGATTGCCAGCCCTGGGGCAGTGAGGAAAGGGCTGAGATTTTCCATTGTTTGATTTATTTCGAGAGAACCTGTCATTGCTGAAGCATTTTTAATGGCAGATACTTTAGAGCCCTTGTCAGATAATTCCAACATCTGATAGTTGGGTCTTGGCAGCAGCTGATCGTGGTGCTCATGCTGGTGGTGATCTCTGCACTCTTGGAAGGATGGTGAGTTTTCAGTTGTTTGGTGGACGTTCTGCCTGTCATGTTAGGTGACCTGGGTCCCCTGTGACTCTTTTGCTTTAGAAGGCAGTGACCTGTTTAGGTTTGGCACATGGGTCCTGGCCCATCTTGCAGGCTGTGGTTCTACTGGCATCTAATTTCCAGAGTCGCTGCTGTGTTGTTCTCTCCTGCTTGGTTTCTCGGGGGTCCTTGTGGCTCTCAGGATCCCTCCTGATGCAGGCTGAGGGGCAGACGGAGTTTCCCCAGGCTCTGCCCTGAGTGTCTCCCAGTGGGGCCCAAGGCTCAGGCTGTCTGAAGAAGAGGCTTGGATCCCCTGCAGGTGCCCACCAACCAGATATTTCTGGGTGGGGAGGAGGGGCTGTCAGTACACAAGGAGGGGAGCCACCCTGGGGCCACTTATGCGGACAGGGCTTCAGGTCCCTCCTCCGTCAGGTGGCGTCAGGCTGGCCTGGTATTGCCAGAGGGCCCTGTTCCATCAGAGCGGGAGCAAGCCTAGCTGGCTGCCATGGGTGCTAGGCTGGGGTCACCTTCTGTTGGTCTTGGGGCCATAAAGCACCCTGTTGCTGTGCCTTCCTTCTCCCCCTGGGGTCCCAAAACCAGCCCGCCTTCCTCTGAACACCTTTCGGAGTTCTGGTTGCCTCTGAGCCTGGTTTCTGGTTGTGCTTTGAGCAGCAGGGAGGGGCCTGCCCATCTAATTGGGACCAGCAGTGAGAGGGGGTTTCTGTGTCCCTGAGGAGAAGGATGCAGTGTGAGGGGAAGGTGGGCTGTCTGGAAATGCTTGTGGAATGAAGGAAGTGTTCAGGTACTGGAGAGATGCAGGTGCGGCTTGTGGATAGAGGCTGCCTAACTTAGGGAACTACCTCGCTGTAGGTGTGTTTGGGGAAAGTGAGTTTCCTGGATACTGATGGGGACAGACACAATCAGCCTCTTGTGGTCTCCCAGGATTTGGCTCAGTGGCTACAACACATCATTGCACACTTGAATACGGCGAGACCTGAATGCCTTTAGCCCAAGACCCTTTTATTACCTTTCCTTTATGCATCCTATAATTTGAACTATTGTCTCCACCAAATTATTCCTTCCCAGCATTTCTGGAGAAAGAAATGTAATGAAATATTATTCAGTAAAATCCCACAGTAAACAAGAACACACAGTGCTAACTTAGTCCTGGTGTTCATCAGTTATTATTGCTCTAAGAAGACAAAGGTGGCCCCTAATATGCAGGAGCTGGCCCGGTGCCCACAGCTGGGCCTTGGTCTCTCCTGATGAACATAAACAGTTCACTGAACAGGAACGGTCAGGGAAGCCACTTGGTGAGTGTGACGGAATAAGACAAGAACAAGACTGGCCAGGCGCGATGGTTCACACCTGTAATCCCAGCACTTTGGGAGGCCGAGGCGGGTGGATCACAAGGTCAGGCGATCGAGACCATCCTAGCTAACATGGTGAAACCCCGTCTCTACTAAAATTACAAAAAAATTAGTCGGGCGCGGTGGCGGGTGCCTGTAGTCCCAGCTACTTGGGAGGCTGAGGCAGGAGAATGGCGTGAACCTGGGAGGTGGAGCTTGCAGTGAGCCGAGATCATGCTACTGCACTCCAGCTTGGGTGACAGAGCGAGACTCTGTCTCAAAAAAAAAAAAAAAAAAAAAGAACAAGACCATTATGTCATTAGGTCTGAACACAGACAAGGCAAGAACATGGTTCAAACCATAAAAGTGACTTAATATCCCCCTCTCCCAGCTCATGCTAGTGAGTGCTGCTGCTTTATAGTTAAAAGCCTGCTGCCTGGCTCTGGTCTGCCTTCTTCCAGGTAAGATTAACCCACGCATCGCATAGCATCCCCTTCTTCCAAACACCAACCAAATCTGGAGCAAAGCCCCACTTCCTTGAACGCTCTCCCCAGATCACCCAACATGCCCCAGTTCTGTAATGAGTCCTGGCAAACCCCCTCTGCCTGAGACACCCCACAGTTCCCGCTGGTGTGCCCTGCGTGTAGTCTCTCTCCCTCCAACAAATAGTAAATCCAACTCGTTCAACTATAGGCCTGATCCTGAGGTCTTTGGCTGGAGGACGTTTTCACTTATAGGATTCATAGGCTAATTTCCAGAGCTCTTTTGAAATTGGTAAAATAGTTTACATTTTCCACCTTACCTGGCCACCAGGCTCCTGATGGCATAATGTCAGGATTAAACCTTAGGATTTAAAGTCTATGATTCTGGAACACTCAGGATTTTAACTTTCCAGCTCAGGACATCCTTGCATTTTTTTATGGTGTCTGGTTAAGACTAGCAGTGACTTCATGAAGGTGGAAATCATGCATTCTTCATTCATTAATCTGATGATTTCACTACTGACAAATGAAAATTACCCAGGCCTTTCAACTTCCCTTCCCAGCTCTCCTGCTGTTTGACCAAAAGACACACATTCTACTGATTTTCAATGACTATTTATCTGCATTGAAAGAACATTTTTCAGAAAACAGAAAGAGACATTATAATGGGTATTTACCACTGGTATGTTCATAGAACGGCCCCAAAATTGTTAACTTCACATGCATATTAGCATAAAACAAAATAATAAATAGGTAAAATTTACTTTAAATTTCTGTTTACAGATTTTTAACAAAATGGCACGGAAAGGGGCTTCCAAGCCAGAAAGCCTTGGCACATCAGGTGAGCCTTTGACACACTGCCTGAGCAGCCTACGGGCTGTCCCATCTGGAACTGGTGCTAGAGTTAGGGAAGCTTCAGGAAGAGACCGTGGGATCTACGCAGCTGTTCTGTTTTTCCTTCCTGAGAGTGTGAGGCCGGGAGGAGACATCATCTGAACGTGCACTTCCTTTCTTTCTTTCTTTTTGAGACAGAGTCTCACTCTGTCACCCAGGCTGGAGCATAGTGGCGTGATCTCGGCTCACTGCAACCTCTGCCTCCCAGGTTCAAATGATTCTCCTGCCTCAGCCTCCTGAGTAGCTGGGATTTCAGGTGCCCACCACCACGCCCAGCAAATTTTTTGTACTTTTAGTACAGATGGGGTTTCACCATGTTGGCCAGGCTGGTCTCAAACTCCTGACCTCAGGTGATCTGCCCACCTCAGTCTCCCAAAGGTGTGAGCCACCACGCCCAGCCTGATTGTGCACTTTCTACAAGTGCAAGACCCGGCCCTCCTGGACTTCATGGTTGTGGTCTGTGCTCTTTGTATATCACAAATTTGAAGGCCTTTAGCCTAAGACCCTTTTATTACCTTTCCTTTATGCATCTTATAATTTGAAATATCATCTCCACCAAATTATTGTGTAATTATATAATTGCCACTTTAACTACTTCACACGTCAATAAATTTAAAAAGCCTTTAAGTGTGTATTTTTGATATGATAAAATTGTGATAGGGTTCTGGAAACTGTGTTCTTCAGATTTGGTGGAGGGGCTTGGGAAAAGGTAGGGCAATAGGTATTTTTTAAAAAGAAAGAAACTAAAAAACTTAAGTTGTTTATTTGAAATTCAAAATTGTCACTGCGTATCCAGTGTTATCTGCCCACCTGAGAGGAGGTAGAGTGGGAAGGTCATCACAAAAGAATCCGAAAAGCTGGGCAGGGGAAAGGGGTGTTCTGCATTAAGGAAGGCTTGCTCTGTAATAGGATCCAAAGTGTGTGATTCCTGACTGCCCTGCAAGTGGCTTGGAGGCTTTGGGCATCTCTCTTGGAAAATAGAAACTTCATGGATGGCTAAAAGAGACATGATAACAGTGTACATGGCAGAAGATCCTCTGCTGATGGGTTCTAGAGAGTCACTGATTCCTTAGGAAGATCTAGTTACAGGCAAGAGCCTTGAATAATCATGAGTCTGGGCCAGTCAAAGGAGGCAAATGCCCCACCTGGGAAAGGTGGCTCTCTCTAATCCAGGTGGTGTTCTGGAAGAAAAGGGAAATAAAAGGCCTGTGTCCTGCTTCTCCACCCGGAGGACTCTGCTCAGCCCTTAGGTCTTCTGAAGGGCTCTCCTGGAAGCCTACTGCAGCTGCAGGCCTGCAGCACCAGTTGCGGATAAGGGAAGATGGAGGTTGACAGAGGGGCCTGCCTCCTCTTACTTTCCCTGCCCTGGCCTGAGTCCTGTGGTTCGTGACTGTGCTGTCTTTAGTGGGAGCTTGCCAAGCCCAGCAGTGTCCTGGTGTGGATGAGAAATTACACACTCATCCTATTCTTAGCTCAGGGGCCTCTGTGCATTGAACTGGTTGCATCAGCTTCATTTTTACTGCAAAACCACCCTTTACAATAGGTCGGAAGTATGATTCTGGCAGACAAAGTGAGGACAAGAGGACAAATGGGGCCAAAAGGAAGCAAGGTTGGGATAGTGGGTGGAGTGACTTCTAGGGATTGGGAGGAAAGTCCCTACCCTTCCCTCCATGGGTCTCCTGACCTGAGCAGGCTCTGGGAGGACAGGGCTGCTCGAGCCACCCTGAGAACCTCCCAGGCTGAGAGGATTCCAGGACGCCCACTCTGGAGATACTGAGACCAGCTCTGGGGAACACGGTGCCAGCTTGAGTGCACCCTGGGCCTGCAGCATGGAGAAGAATTTAGCATCCCAAGCCCCCACCCCTGAGATGCTTCAGGTGGGGCAAAGTGGCTGCAGCAGCCTAAACTTTAGGTTGTCAGAGTGATACGGAGCTGCACAAGGCCAGGCACTGAGTGAGTGCCCTGAAAGTGCTGGTGGGGGAAATATGTGAGTTCAAACTACCCTTGAAATTTCAGATACTTGTCATCTGTAAATTATGAAAACGTGCTCCTTACTTTCTTAGCAATAGTGTTGCTTTTACATATACGTGCATTCCTCTCCTGTGGCTACTGTAAAAGTTACCACGAACTCGGTGGCTTCAAACAGTGGGAATGTATAGTTCTGGTGGTCAGAAGTCTAAACTGAGTCTTATGGGAACAAAACCGAGGTGTCTGCAGGGCAGGGCTGGTTCTAACTGAGGCTCTAGGGAGAATCGCTTCCTTGCCTTTTCAGCTTCCAGAGCCGCCTGCGTCCCGTGGCTCCTGGCCCCTTCCTTGCATCACATCACCTTCCCCCCGACTGTGTCATCACACTGCCTTTCCCTACTGTCATCAAGTCCCCTGTGCCTTTCTCTTATAGGAAAATTTATGATTACATTTAGGGCCCGCCTGGATGGCCCAAGATAATCTCCCCAACTCAAAGTTCTTAATCACATCTGCAGAATCCCTTTTGCCTTCCAAGTCACCATATCACAGGTTCCAGGGACCAGATGGTGGAGGTCCTGGGGGGACACTATTCAGTGGACCACACTGCCCTTTTCTCAGATTGAACTGGTGGCCTTGTCTGTCCCTCTTCCCCGACAGGTAAAGGGATTCAGGGTCTCTGCTCTTCACGACGTCATCCATAGAGAGTCTCTCTCATATACATCTAAGGTGATCTTCAAAATAACCCACGAACCAGGGATCATTTACAAATGGGAAACTGGGAAGAAAACTAACATTTACAGAGTTAAATAATTCAAATTTTAGTTAAACACTGCTATATACAGCCCCATTATTGCTTCATTTGACCCTCCTGCCATCTGGGAAGTATCTGTTTTTACTCCTATTTTGAAAGTAGAAAACCTGAAATAGTGAGGTCATGTAACTGATCTAACACTGCAGGTCTTGGAAATTAGAAAACCTGAAATTAGTGAGGTCATGTAATTGCTCTAAGACAGCAGAGCCAGAAGTAAAGGCACTGAAGTTTAAAGCAGACCTGTGATTTCCACCCCTTAGCTCTTCCCTGTCCCATTTTCCCCTGTCCATCACTCCCTCTGCACAGTCCTGCAATGGTCTGAGAATGGTGGCCAGTGCTGCAGGAGACCCATGGGTGTGCCTTTGGGGTGTGCATTGACAGTTTTCTTTGAATGCTTCTAGAACCACAAAATATCAGGGCAGAAAGGCATCTCAGAGAAAACCTACCCCAAATAACTTCTCAAACTTCAATGCACAGAACTATCTGGCTGCTTATAAAAAAACAAGAGTCTGTAAGCCCCATTCCCAGAAATTTTAATTTAATAGGTCTGCACTTGAGGCCCAGGCAGGTTTTTTTTGTTTGTTTGTTTGTTTGTTTTTTGTTTTTTGTTTTTTTTTTTTTGAGATGGAATCTTGCTCCATTGCCCAGGCTGGAGTACAGTGGTGCGATCTCAGCTCACTGAAACCTCTGCCTCTAGGTTCAAGTGATTCTCCCACCTCAGCCCCCCGAGTAGCTGGGACTGTACAGGTGCATGCTACCATACCCGGCTAACTTTTTGTATTTTTAATACAGACGGGGTTTCACTGTGTTAGCCAGGATGGTCTCGATCTCCTGACCTCGTGATTCACCCTCCCAAAGTGCTGGGATTACAGGTATGAGTTATCCGCCTGGCGCATCTACATTTTTAACATGCCCCAAAGCTAGTTTTGAAACAATTTAACAGGAAAGAAAGGGTGAGAGGGGTGCATTTGTCCTTTCTCACACTGCTGTAAACATATTACCTGAGACTGGGTAATTTATAAACGAAAGGGGTTTAATTGACTCACCGTTCCACATGGCTGGGGAGGCCTCAGGAAACTTACAATTATGCAGAAGGCAAAGGGGAAGTAAGCACCTTCTTCACAAGGCAGCAAGAGAGAGAGAGCACAGGGGAAACTGCCATTTTTAAAATCAGATCTCATGAGAACTCACTCACTATCACAAGAACAGCATTGGAAGTGATCCAATCACCTCCCTCCCTCGACACGTGGGGATTACAATTTGAGATGAGATTTGGGTGAGGACACAGAGTCAAACCATATCAAGGGGTAATACATTTTCTCTAGAATGTAGCATTAGCCTTTCTTTTTGAGGAACATGTTTGTGTGTTATGGAAGTTAATCACGGTGGGCCACATCATTGGAAAACAGCAAATACTGCTTTCTGGTTTTTGGCCGATTAGGTCAGGTGAAGAAGTTTGGCAATCTGGCTCTGATTTGTGTGAGAGATACCAGTGAAAGGTGGATTTCATATTGTGAGATGAAACATCTGGAGAGGACTAGAGTCTAACTTGTGCATCAGCTGGAAAGAAAGACTGAGGGGTCATGGGAACTTGCACATTACGATCCATGTAACTGCACTTGCCAGAATGTAGGATCAATCTGCTGCTGAAGAATATCCTAAATCAGAGAGTAGATAGGAACCAGAGGCCGTAAACTCACCAGAGATGTTAGTGCGGCCTTTAGGTTAACTGCTGCTTGGAACACAGAGACGTGATGCACTGAAACTAAATCTGGGCTGAGGGAAAGCATGTCCACACCAGGTGCCCAGACATCTGGTTGGCTTTGGCTGATTTGTCCTGCAGGCACCTGCCTTGTCTGGATTTGCACACTTTCCAAGTTGCCCATTACCCTGTGCATTTCCCAAGCTGCCTTCCCTGGCTCTGATGTACGATGAACCTGCTTGAGTGGCATATTTATCATAGTGCAATCAAGAGGCATGAGCCATGATTGATGACATATCATAAATGGGAATATGCATATCATCACACTGGGATCTGACTTAGCAGTTCATTTGGCCTTACTATAAGCTGATTTCTTGAAAGAGCTCAGATTCCTGGCTCAGAATGCCTTTGATAGAAGAGTGTGTTCTCAATGGAAGGGAAGCAATAGTTATAATTTTTTCTCAGTGGACCAGTTCTCAAGTGAAGGCAGAATTTTAACCAGTGTTCAGCGTCTTCCATTAAAATCCCCAGCTCTCCATTTTTCAGTGTGAAAAAATCCAGGCCAGGGTTTCTGCAGACAGTAATTTTTGATGGCAGGGTCAGCAAATTGGACTAAGTGTATGTACTGTGATCTCCATAAAAGGGAATTACTGAATTTTCTGTCCACTTAGCAGCGTCTTTTGTTAATGATGGGCAAGAAGCTTGTATTATTTATGGAGCACTTTGACATCTCAGCAGTTTATGGAGTATATATGAAGAATGGGAGCACTTTATCTTCTAATAAAATGTTGCATAACAACTTTAGTACTGAACTTTTTTAAAGAAGGAATCATGGATTATCCTGCAGCCAAGTATTAACAGAAAGGACATACTGTGATCTCACATTCAAACTACTTCAAAGATAAGGAGATTTATTTTGCCCATTACAATTTTCTCCCAGAGCAAATAACCATTTTTATTAAAATGCTGTAAGTTCATCCAGGTAGGATTTGGGTGAAGATAATTTGGGACAAGCCACTGTGTACTGGTAATGAAAACAGAAATGAATTCAAGCTTCTAATGGAAAAGTGACAAGCAAATAAATTAATCTCCAGGTTATTCAATTTTAGAAAGTGATATAAGATGTAAGATATAACTAAAAACTGAAAAGGAAAGTTAAAACAGTCTCCAGGTTTCCATATGGATGATTTGTAATTAAAATGATACTGGAGGGGAGTCCAGGACACATCTGAATATCGAGCTTTGCCCACAACCTTTCTGATTGCTGTTTCTTAGGTGTTTACTGCAGTGCTTCTTTCTCCATTTCTGCATAAGTGTGGACAAAATTCACATGTGCCTATTACTAGTATAAAGGGCACACACGGCCAGGCGTGGTGGCTCACGCCTGTAATCCCAGCACTTTTGGAGGCTGAGGAGGGGGGATCAGGAGATCGAGACCATCCTGGCTAACACGGTGAAACTCTGTCTCTACTAAAAAAAAAAAAAAAAAAAAAAAAAAAAAAAAAAAATTAGCCCGGCATGGTGGCAGGCGCCTGTAGTCCTAGCTACTCAAGAGGCTGAGGCAGGAGAATGGCGTGAACCCGGGAGGCAGAGCTTGCAGTGAGCCGAGATCCCGCCATCGCACTCCAGCCTGGGCGACACAGTGAGACTCTGTCTCAAAAAATATAAATAAATAAAATAAAATAATAAAGGGCACACACTGTGCTTGCTGCCTGAGACTGGCCAAGGGGTCTCTTAGTTTTGTCTGTTACTTAAATTATCAACTCCACCTAACTACAGGAAACACAGAAATGGTGTGTTGCAGTCCGGACACTGTGAGCAGCATGAAATTCTATCTCGGTGTCTAGGAAATGGGGTAGGGAAGGGCCAGTCCAGGGCACAGGTAAGAATAGACTTTTGCCTCTGAGCTCTCCCACCTTTCTCTTTCTCCTTATGAGTTGCTCTTTACCCTAGGATTTCCAGACACTCATGCTATTCTTTAGTCCTAAAAATTCCTCCTCAAAGTCTTGCTTTTCTCAAAATGCCTTATGCCCCATAGTTACCATGTGAGCTTCCTCCCACGTCCTTGGTCCCGCTTCCCTCCTGTGGGCAGCTTAGTCAGTGTGCCCTTCCCTCCACACGCCCAGAGGGCTGGCTCCTGCAGGCAGCACCTTTGCAATGGCCTCCAAAACAGACTTGAGACAAGCGCATAAAAGGGAGGAGGAAGCAGCGCTCCTGTAGGTCTCCTGGCTCTTGCTCCAGCAGGATGGCACAGGAAGACACATGAGGTCTTTTTTCTTAACTCAGATGTTCAGATCAGAACTCTTGTCTGGAGCCAATGAGCTGAGCCCCTGGGGAGCCAGGACTGATCCTGGTTTTAAGGCAGTTAATGTTCCCTATTCTTGCCTCCAGGTGTTTTTGAAATCCTCCCTACCCAGATAGGCACAAAAATAGATTATGTGTCTGGCTGCAAAGAAAAGCTATGCACATTCCTAAAAGCAAAAATGATACAAGCCATATTTCCTTCCATAAAACAAATAAACTAAAAATAAAGAATGAAAGGATAGCAAAAAAGAAAATAATTTATCAATAGATGCAGTTTTCAACAGATTACATAGAAATAGCAACAGAGAGAATCAGTGAGGTAGACATTAGCACTGAGAAATCACTCAGATTACAGCAGATATATAAAAAATGGCGACTGGGAATGATCATTTAGGAGGAATTAATGATAGAATGCACAATCTGTAAGAGTTCTAGGAGAGAAAGAATGGAGAGGAGGTATTTGGAGCTAACAGCTGAAAATTTTCCATAATTGAAAAATGTAATCAAATCAAAGAAAAAACAACCTAAAGAAAGTAGAAGCAATATAATAAGATTTAAACAAAATGATTTAGCAGCTAAAATTCACAGATTTCATCACTAAAATAAAAAGACAGTTCTTTGCAATGAAAAGAGCATTTAAAAATATTTTGTAATATAATATAAATACAAATATAATTTTAAAAGCAAGCTGGTATAAATATATAAATATATTTAAAATATAAGATATTAAATTAATATATTTCAATGTCTAGATTAAATGGACAGTTTTTGAGAACACTATAAATTATCATTTTTAACTTAATAAGAAACAAAATTCAAACAGTCAAAAGCATCTAAACCAAATTTAAAAGATAATAAAAAGAAAAAAATCTATCCATAATAATGAAACCAAGTTCAGGGATTTTCTTGAGTTAATAAATTTTATGAAACTTTAGCTCATAGATTAGATTATCCCTGTGTGATACAGACTTTGCTGTAGCATCAAACAATATGGGAAGGCTGCTACCTTATTCTGTGAGGCTAGTATAAAACTAACACCACAACTAGACAAAGCTGACACAAAACTAAATGAGATCAGCCAATCTCACTAACACAGAGAGCTGCAGAAATTAAACCCCAAAAAATCTTAGCGAATTTCACAGAATAATGATTTTTAAAAATGTGTGTGTCTTGTAAAATCAAGACTTAGATATGCAAACATGATTCAATAGTTTCAAAATCTATTAATTCAATTCTGTATGTCTTCAGATTAAAAGAGGAAAACAAGATCATCTCAATCAATATCAAGAAAGCATTTGCTAAAACCAACATCCTGATTACATTTCTGATAAAAATGTAAACAAAGCAAAACAGTGAAGTTAGAAATAAAAGAAAACTTTCTTAATTTTGTATAAGAGAGATCTAGAAAACTGGAGCAAACATAATAGCTAATGGCAAAATATCATAAATATTCATGTTAAAATTATACACAAGAAAAGGACACCTACTAGCACCACTTTTATGCAAACAGTGAATAAGAAATCTTAGCAGTAAATACAGAAACATTGTACAGACAGCATGAAGAAAAGACAAAACTGCCATTTTAAAAAGTTTTATCTGATAATCTACCCCAAAATTTCACAGAATTAACTGATAAACTATATTAACTAGTAAGGTGGTCTGATATAAAATAAACATTTAAAAATACTAACAATAACCAATTAGAAAACATGATAGAAAGAAACAAATGCCATTACCAATTGTTTAAATGCACACAAAACCCCAAAGAAGAACTTTTATTATCTAAATGGAACCTCTTCTAGCATTACAGAGACCCCAATATCTAACAACTCCCTTAGCAACGTGACGTTCCAGGTGGTTCCAGGCAGGTGTGGAGGCTCTGGGTGCACAGGTGAGCAGCGACTCTGCCATCTTTTATACCCTGCTTCCAAGGCTATCATGGAGTTGCAATCCTGGTTAGCCAGAGAGGAGGAAAGCATGGAAGAGTGTGTATGTAAGGTTGTTATGGGGTGGCCTGGAAGTGGCATTCATGTATTTCAGGGCTCATCTGTGGCATCACACCTTCTTAAGGTCACTGGTTTGATACTGATTAGGGTAGAATCAGCTGTAGTAACAGACTCAAACGTGTAACAACTCCATCCAAGAGCAGTTCATGTTTCACTCATCCAAAAGCCCAGGGCAGCAGTCCAGAGGGGGAGGTTGGGACTCTGCTCCACTGCATCATTCAGGGACACAGGGGTTCTGTCACCTTCCACAGGTTTCTCCCAAGATCACCCTGGGAGTTGTCATCCAAGGCAGGAAGGAAAGAGAGCTTAGAGAAAGTGTGGGATGGTTTTAAGGTCCTGGCTTGGAAGTAACATCCATCACTTCTGCTCAAATTCCACTAACTACAACCTCAGTCATATGACCCCAACTAATTGCAAGGGAAGCTGGGAAGGGAATCTAACTGCTTGCACAAAGAAAAGGGTTGATTAAATTTTGAAGAGTTGCCAGCAAATTCTACCATAAACCTGACAAAGAGTATACAAGTCTGATGTGAATAAAATTGTAAACTTTGTTGAAGAATGTTAAAAAAAAAAAAATAAGAGGAGACATACCCTATACCTACACTGAAAGATACAGTCATGGAAAATGTAAATTATCTCCAGGTTAATCTATACATCTCATGAAAAACTGGATCCCTTCCTTACCCCTTATACAAAAATTAATTCAAGATGGATTAAAGACTTAAATGTCAGACCTAAAACCATAAAAACCCTAGAAGAAAACCTAGGCAATACCATTCAGGACATAGGCATGGGCAAGGACTTCATGTCTAAAACACCAAAAGCAATGGCAACAAAAGCCAAAATTGACAAATGGGATCTAATTAAACTAAAGAGCTTCTGCACAGCGAAAGAAAGTACCGTCAGAGCGAATACGCAACCTACAGAATGGGAGAAAATTTTTGCAATCTCCTCATCTGACAAAGGGCTAATATCCAGAATCTACAATGAACTCCAACAAATTTACAAAAAAAAAACAAACAAACCACCCCATCAAAAAGTGGGCAAAGGATATGAACAGACACTTCTCAAAAGAAGACATTTATGCAGCCAAAAGACACATGAAAAAATGCTCACCATCACTGGCCATCAGAGAAATGCAAATCAAAACCACAATGAGGTACCATCTCACACCAGTTAGAATGGCGATCATTAAAAAGTCAGGAAACAACAGGGCTGGAGAGGCTGTGGAGAAATAGGAACACTTTTACACTGTTGGTGGGACTGTAAACCAGTTCAACCATTGTGGAAGTCAGTGTGGCGATTCCTCAGAGATCTAGAACTAGAAATACCATTTGACCCAGCCATCCCATTACTGGGTATATACCCAAAGGATTATAAATCATGCTGCTATAAAGACACATGCACACATATGTTTATTGCAGCACTATTCACAATAGCAAAGACTTGGAACCAATCCAAATGTCCAACAATGATAGACTGGATTAAGAAAATGTGGCACATATACACCAGGGAATACTACGCAGCCATAAAAAATGATGATTTCATGTCCTTTGTAGGGACATGGATGAAGCTGGAAACTATCATTCTCAGCAAACTATTACAAGGACAAAAAACCAAACACCACATGTTCTCACTCACAGGTGGGAATTGAACAATGAGAACACATGGACACAGGAAGGGGAACATCACACACCGGGGCCTGTTGTGGGGTAGGGGTAGGGGGGAGGGATAGCATTTGGAGGTATACCTAATGTTAAATGACGAGTTACTGGGTGCAGCACACCAACATGGCACATGTATACATGTGTAACTAACCTGCACATTGTACACATGTACCCTAAAACGTAAAGTATAATAAAAAATAAAAATAATAATAAACCCCCCCAAAAAAAGAAAATTTTCAATTTAACTGAAAGTTTTATGAACTTGATAAAAGGTTTTTAAAATTCATATGGCAGATGTTTTAGTCAGTTTTGTGCTGCTATAACTGAATATCTGAGACTAGGTAATTAATGCAGAACAGAAATTTATCTCTGACCGTTCTACAGCCTAAGTCCAACTGAGGTGCTGGCTGGCTTAACTATCGGGTAACGGCTATTCTCTGCTTCCAAGGTGGTGCCTTGGATGCTGCATCTTCCAGAAGGGACAAATGCTGTGTCCTCACATAGCAGAAGAAAAGTGTATTATTAGTCCGTTTTCATGCTGCTGACAAAGGCATATCCGAGACTGGGCAATTTACAAAAGAAAGGGGGTTATTCGACTTACAGTTTCACATGGCTGGGGAGGCCTCACAATTACAGCAGAAAGTGAAATGCATGTCTCACATGGCAGCAGACAAGAGAAGAGAGCTTTTGCAGGGAGACTCCCATTTTTAAAACCATCAGATCTCGTGAGACTTATTCACTATCACGAGAACAGCACGGAAAAGATCTGCCTCCATGAGTCAATTACCTCCACCGGTTCCCTTTCACAATATATGGGAATTCGAGATGAGATTCAGGTGGGGACACAGCCAAACCATATCAGGAAGGAAGGGTGAAATGGGGCCAGACTTTCTCCTTCAAGCCCTTTTATAATGATATCAATTTGAAGAAACCTAAACATCTCTCAAAATGCCCCATGTCCCAACACTGTTGTATTGGGCATTACGTTTACAACATATGAATTTTGGGGGACATATTCAGACCACAGCAGTGGAGAATGTCTAATTCATTTTTACAAAGAGAACGATAAGATGGCAAATTTACTTGTATTTCATTCCATTTTGTGTTCCCATAAAGGAATACCTAGGGCTGGGTAATTTATAAAGAAAAGCAGTTTCTTTGGCTCATGGTTCTGTAGGCTGTACAAGAAGCATGGTGTCAGCATTTGCTTCTGGTGAGGGCTTCAGGCTGCTTCCACCACCAGTGGAAGGTGAAGGGGAGCAGGTTTATGTTGTGGTGAGAGAGAGAGCGAGAGAGGGTGAGAGAGAGAGCGAGAGAGAGGGTGAGAGAGAGGGCGAGAGAGCGAGAGAGAGAGCGAGAGAGAGGGTGAGAGAGAGAGCGAGAGAGAGGGCGAGAGAGAGGGTGAGAGAGGGTGAGAGAGAGGGCGAGAGAGCGAGAGAGAGAGCGAGAGAGAGGGTGAGAGAGAGCGAGAGAGAGGGTGAGAGAGAGCGAGAGAGAGGGTGAGAGAGAGAGCAGAGCGAGAGAGAGGGCGAGAGAGAGGGCGAGAGAGAGAGCGAGAGGGAGGGTGAGAGAGAGGGTGAGAGAGAGAGTGAGAGAGGGTGAGAGAGAGGGTGAGAGAGGGTGAGAGAGAGAGCGAGAGAGAGGGTGAGAGAGAGGGCGAGAGAGAGGGTGAGAGAGGGAAGGGGAGCTCAGGCTCTTTTAATCAACCAACTCTCTCATGAACTATTAGAAAAAGATCTCACTCACTGCCAAGCAGATATCACCAAGCCATTTACGAGGGATCTGCCCTCGTGACCCAAGCACCTTCCACTAGCCTCCACCTCCAACGCTGGAGATCAAATTCAGCGTGAGATCTGGAGGGGACAAATATCCAACTATACCAGCTTTTTCTTATCACTATTGATCTGTTGTATTTAAAACATTGTAGTATTGTACCAAAGTAGAAAAATAAAACAGATAAACAGGCTCGAGGTTTTAGAAATATATCCTTAATATTACTCATCCTTAAAAAAGGAAGGAAATCCTGTCACGTGCTACAACATGGATGAATCTTGAAGCCACTAGGCTAAGTGAAAGAGCTGGTCATAAAAAGAATGCTGCATGATTTTACTTATATGAGATACATAGAGTAGTCAAATTCATGGAGACAGAAAGTACACTGGCAGTTTCCAGGCTTTCCAGGATTTTCACCCTTTTGAGGGTGAAATGATGAGTTATTTTTTAATGGGTACATGTTCAGTTTTGCAAATTAAAGAATTTCTAGAGATAGATGGTGGTCACGATTGCACAACAATGTGAATGTACTTAATACTACTAAACGGTACATTAAAAACAATTAAGATGTAAATTTTTATGTGTTTTTGCTATAAAATTTTTAAAACTCTTTAAAAATTAATATACTCTTCTGTTAATGAGATAGTAGCTTATGACAAAGATAATGGTGTTTAAAGTCAATAGTAAATGAATAGCTCATTCAATAAATAATTTGGAGATAATTAGATATCTATAGGAAAAATTTTTTCTTACATTATAAAAAATGTTCAGATATAAAATGGTACTGTAAACTTATTAGGAGAAAACATTATAGAGTGTTTTCATAATAGTGCAATGGTATAAATGCCAGATAAAAGTTAAGATTGTAAATTTAGTAAAAGAAAATATACGGAGTGGTTTCATTATATTGAAGTGAAGTACAAGTATTTCTAGGCAATGTGCAAAAATCAAAAGTCCTACATAAATCTAATGAAACGTTTGTCTTCATAAAAACCTAAAATCTTCTTTAGTGAAAAAGCAAAACACTGTAAAGTCAATGGGCAAGTGGTAGATTGGTAGATAATATTTGTAACATATTTAATCAATACGGATGAATATCAAGAATATATAAAGAGATCCTAAAATTGATAAGAAAGAAAAACATTTTAATAGAAAAATTTAGACCATGAACATACTCTCTCGGAAGAGTCAAACATAGTAAGCATATGAAAATGTGTTAAACTTACTCAAAAATCAAGAAATAGTATGTTACAACCATGAGACTTTTTCCTCATCTATTAGGCTGGGATTAATTTAGAAGAGGCAGGGTAATCAATGTTCTCATTCATCATTGGTGGGAGTGCAAATGTGTAGCCTTTCAGAAAAAGTGGCAGTAATTCTCAAAATTTAAATATGTACATATTTTGATTCATAAACTTTACAGCAGGAATCTATCTTAAATATGATGCCCAAGTGTGAAAAGGCATATATACATAAAAATGTTCATTTCAGCATTGTTGATTTAAGGAGAGATTGGGAAGTTAGATATTCATCGACAGGGGAATGAATAAATAAGTTTTGCTATAACCATACTGCAGAATACTCTGCAGCCATTAAAAAGAATAAGTTTGGCTTATAGGTACTAACCTTGGAGGATCCCTAAGACATGCAGTTTAACAAAACAATGCATATAGAACGATCAATTGTGTAATTGTATAGTAACGTAATGGAAAAGATTCATGCTGTATTGGTTGGGTATGGCCACAATTCTGTTGTGTAACAAACTCACTGGTCTTGAGGAAAATAACTTACTCGTATGAATCTCTGGGTCATGGAGCAGCTCTACCCTGACACTGAAGCAGTGCTCTGGTCTGCTGCACCTGATTCTCAACCTCCTGAGTCAGCAGGCTGGCCAGGATATGTACTTCTCACAGCGGTGGCAGAGGCGCAAGGGCCTGGACAGAAACATTTCAGACCTCTTAAAGTCTTGAAAGGAAGAAAGAAATATTTTTCCATTGCATTTAAGCAGTAGTGCATTTTAGCTAATTTCTACAATTACCATTGATGTAGTAGATGGAGAAATCTATTAAGTCCTTAAATTCTAATAACCTTGATGCCACAAGCCACATTAACAATATTAAGATTACTCCTTTGAAATGAACAAGTTAACCAGCTTTGCCCTTGTAGAGCTCACAAAGACCACAGATTTTATCCAGCCAATACCACTCAGTCAAAGCATTGGAGTTTTAAACGTAGACAGGTTCCCAACACAGCCACAGTCCAGCAGGTGAGGGGTTTGCTGGCTCTCTGGGACACTTCCAGGACAGATGTGTACTGTCCTACAAAACAGCTCATGCAATTCAAAGAAATCGAGATGGAGCTGATGTCAAAAGCACACTAAGTACTTAATAATGAGTTCGTATGGTTGTATAGTTAATAATTACTGTTAGGAAATCTACAATGGCTAAAATACACCCTTACATTTATCCAGTAAGTAGTGTTTAGATACCTATCTTTTTGAAGTCTAAAAATAAGTATGAACGCTAATATCATTTGGGCTCCTTCTTCAAAGCTGTTTCCCCTTGACTCTTTTATGAGTAAAAAAATATGCATAAAGTACAGAAAATGTGAGCCGTTTATGAACATCTGATGTGAGATGTTAGGGTTGACTTGGTATGTCCTTTGTCTTGAATGCAATGCTGAGTGGGAAACGGGATTCCTATAACCCAAGGCGTGCAGTGGTATTATGATTCAATTATCACCTCAGTTGCAGGGGAAGAAAGGCCTATTGCAGCAAGTACCTTGGGTGCTGTATCTGACCTTCACGGTGGTGGTGACAGCAAGGCTTGCGTCATGTTCAGAGAATCAGACAGCTTCTCCAGTGACACTAAAACCAAAACAAAACATCTTTGTTTTACTTACAAGCAGCAAGGCAGATAGAGCTGTATAAAATAGATGCAGAATTTAATGGAGTAGGTACAAAATTACAGCGTAAGTTCAATCCTCAGACTCGCCAATACATTTGTGTAAAAGTTAGGCTTTGATTGTAGCAGGGGGCTCTCCAAGACTTGGAATTGGGTTATCTGTGTGGATTCAAGAAAAGCTGGGAAATTTACACCCCAAGTCTCTCTAAGCCATCCTTGCTGAAGGAAGCAGCCTCCTCTCCCTGCCTGTAGAATCTTCCCTTATTTGAAGACCTTTTAATAACTTCACATGCTTGAGCTCCCTGGTAAGGTGATATCTAAAACTCTCAGGGCTCACTCCCATCACCCATTAGTGCATGAGACCCATAATTAGGGTCACAAATGTCAAGTATGTTCCACAGGGAGAAAAGCAAAGTCCAATCCAGAAGGACATGGTTTATAGGAGAGAGAGAAAAAAAAGAGAGAGGGAAGAAAAATGATAAAAAGGGCAATACTCACCAATTCAAAGTACCAGAAACATGGGTAAATGTAGTGCATGAATCCTAAGAACATTACACCACAGAGCACAGAATTCAACACTGAATAAGGCTGACCCCATCCATGTGAGAGCACTTACAGAGATTCTAGCTGAATGTGCTGATTTGGGCACCATGGAGCAGCTCTCACAGTTTGCATGGATGGTGGAGTGAATTTGAACTTAATGATGGCTCACATCTGAAGAGGCCAGACTCTCCTGCTCTCTGTGATGGACTTGTTCAGGGAAATGTCTGCATCCCAGAGAACATCTTCTTCCACCATACCCAGGACACCATCTTGGTTGAATCTGGTGAGCAAGCACAGCAAGAACCCTAAATGTCTTAATGAGACACATGTGTGGCAAAGAGTGAACAATAAACCCCATGAAATCTCGAGGCCCATGCCTTGGGGAGGTTTCTCATGGCCCTGTGGTCTGAAGCATGTTTGGGCATTTCTTCCAAAGTGAAACAGAAGTTGTTATTTCATCTATTACCTACCCCTAAAAAATGGGCACGGTGTTGAGAAAATGTCTTTGGAGGCAACAAATACCACATTTGAGAGTGCTGTCCCAACCCATTTATTGAGTAACCAACAAAGCTCCAAGGTAAGTGACTGGGGCCATATGGACACACATAAAAGTATAATTGAAGGCCAGGTGTGGTGGCTTACAACTGTAATCCCAGCACTTTGGGAGGCCGAGGCAGGCGGATCACAAGGTCAGGAGTTCGAGACCAGTCTGGCCAATATAGTGAAACCCCATCTCTAGTAAAAATACACAAATTAATCGGGCCTGATGGCGGGCACCTGTAGTCCCAGCTACTCGGGAGGCTGAGGCAGGAGAATTGCTTGAACACAAGAGGCAGAGGTTGCAGTGAGCTGAGATCTCACCACTGCATTCCAGCTTGGGTGACAGAGCGAGACTCCGTCTCAAAATAAATAAATAAATAAATAAATAAATAAATAAATAAAAGCATAATTGAATATCTGTTTTCAGGAGCTTCTGGCAAGCCCAAATGAGAATCGCAATGCAAATATATAGGGCTTTGGAGAAAAGCCATGTTCTACTCTGCATATAATTATTATTTTAAGAATCAACTCTTATCTTGCTATGCTATTGAGCTTTGTCAAGACAAAATGAGAACTTCATGACCACTGTTCATCATGAATTGGCTATGCACCGACACACTAGGCCATAAGGTGGGAGGAGAATAAGATTCGGCAAGTCCAGAAACAGGTTTCATGAGCAGGTGACTGCTAAGGACTCCGATTCCATCTTTTCCTTCTTCTCCATCTTTTCTTCCCATAATTTACACTTAGGACCTCATTGGGAGTTGCCTACGGCAGCTGGTTTGCAGATGGTTCTGTTATGCTGGCACCAGCCATAAGTGGATCGCTGCCAATGCTACTGTCTCACTCAAGGATAGTGCTGAAGAACAAAGGGAAAAGGATAGCTTCCCAGTGGACAAAACTTGTAGCAGTAAAATTTAGTTTTTCATTTTATCTGCGTAACAGATGGACAGAAGTACAGATCTACACAAATTCATGTGTGGTTCTCTGAGTAGATGGTCAGAGACTGGGAAAGAATGGCATTGGATAACTAGTGACAGACTGAAGAAGAGATGTGTAAATGGACTTCTCAGAAGGGACACAGGGTGGGGCATACCTGTGTCCCACGTGAATGTTCCCTGAAGGTCATCTGCTACACAGGAGACTTTCAGGAATCAGGGGGATGTGATGACACATTCAGTGGGTGTGCTGGAAGGCTCCGGGGTGTTTGCTCAATGGGTCTGGGTATAAAGTGGCTAAGGAAGTGGTGATAGAAGCCACTCAAGGGTTCAGCAGCATTAACTTCCCGGGGGAACCACTCAGCCACATGATAGGGCAAGCAGATTGTAACACTGACCTCCACCAATTTCTGCCTTGTCCTGATATAATGGCACAATGGCCTGAGAATACTCAGTTACAGCGCCCATAAAGTGACAGCATTCTGGAAGTAGTATATGCTTTGAAGCAGCAATCAATCAACAGAATACAGGAGTCTGGAAATCAAAGAGGCATAATTGGAAATGGCTCTTCTCATATTTCTTCTGCAGGATTTTTGCTTCTCCCTCCAGAATCTTGTGCTTTGCTGGTTTGGAGATTCTAGTTCCTAAGACAGAAGTGCTTCTGCTGGAGAAAATAAGGCTGTATCTGTTGAATGGGATACTGAGGCTTTATTCTGTCATTTGAGGCTTCTTATTCCACTATAAAGAATAGAGTAACTGTCCTGGCTGATCCCTAAGCAGAAATTGGGTTTCTGCTCACAAGGGAGGTAGGAAGAACCATGTCCCCCTAAAAACCCAGGGGATGCTCTTGAGTGCTTCTTGGCTCTGCCACACATAATAGAAAATGTTAGTGGACAATTTTGTGGGCTAGATTGTGTCCCCCGAAAAAGCTATGCTAAAATCCTAACCCCCAATACCTGTGAACGTGATGTTATTTGGGAGTACAGTCTTTGCAAATGATATCAAGGGTAGATGAGCTGGATAAGGGTGGGCTCTAGTCCATGTGACTATCGTCCTTATAAGAAACAGAGAAGGCCGGGCGCGGTGGCTCACGCCTGTAATCCCAGCACTTTGGGATACCGAGGCGGGCGGATCACGAGGTCAGGAGATCGAGACCATCCTGGCTAACACGGTGAAACCCCGTCTCTATTAAAAATACAAAAAATTAGCCAGGCATGGTGGCGGGCACCTGTAGTCCCAGCTACTCGGGAGGCTGAGGCAGAAGAATGGTGTGGACCCAGGAGGCAGAGCTTGAAGTGAGCCAAGATCGCACCACTGCACTCCACCCTGGGAGACAGTGAGACTCCGTCTTAAAAAAAAAAAAAAAAAAGGAAACAGAGAAGAGACACAGACACACACAGAAAGAGTGCCATGTGACAATGGAGGCAGATACTGGAATGATGAAGCAACAAGCCAAAAAATTACCAGGACGTGCCAGCAGCATCAGAGCTAGGAGAGGGGCCTAGGGAGGCTTTTCTTTCAGAACCTCCAGAAGGAATGCATTCTGCTGACATCTTGATTTTGGACTTCCAGCCTCTAGAACTGTGACAAAATCAATTTGTTTTTTGAGCCACCACTCAGTTTGTGGTAATTTATTTTGTCAGCCTTTGGAAATAGAAATGGACAATAATAGCAACCTCACAAAGGCAGGACTGCTAAGGACTCACACCCTTTGGGAATTAAGGTTTGGGTCACCCGACAAGAAAAAGGATCCCCAACTAGTTGAGTTAAATATTAGCTACGATACTGTGGCCAGAAATGAAGACTGTAGCAGCTGTCCATATTTTCTTCTTATAAATATGTGTGTGCACACATGTGTGCATATATGTGCAAGTGTGGGCATGCATGTTGTAAACTAAAAATAAAATCCAAGCTGGGCACAGTGGCTCGCACCTGTAATCCCAACACTTTGGGAGGCCGAGGCAGGTGGATCACCTGAGGTCAGGAGTTTGAGACCAGCCTAACCAACATGGGGAAATCTCATTTCTACTAAAAATACTAAAAAGTACTAAAAAAAAAAAAAAAAAAAAAAAAAAAAAAAAAAAAAAAAAAAAAGCTAGGTGTTGTGGCTCACACCTGTAGTCCCAGCAACTTGGGAGGCTGAGGCATGAGGATTGCTTGAACTGGGGAGGCGAAGGTTGCAGTGAGCCGAGATCATGCCACTGCACTCCAGCCTAGGTGACAGAGCGAAACTCTGTCTAAATAAACAAATATAAAATCCAGACTCTCCCACCTATTGAACAGACCCCATTGTGGCCAAGGAGAGCCCAGAGAAACCTGAAAACTGAGTTCCTGGCCATGACAGGATGGGACATCAGACATGCCTTGTTATGCCCCTTCCCTTTTATGGTTTAGTCACAACAGCCAGCATTAATGTTAAAATAGAGACTGTAAGAATGACAGAACAGACTCTTTGTGGCCATAAGATACCAAATTATAAACAGGACCTACCATGCCAAGCAAGAGGTAAGTCACACACCCCTACACTGAAAGGATAAACTATGTTCTCACAGCTTTTTCTTTTTCTCTAGCAGCTAAACAAGCCCCAGCCTCAACGTAAGCAATATTAAAACAATCACAATCCATCCAGCTCACAGACAGACACTCACTCACTAAACTCCTGTTCCGCCAGCCATAGTTACAGCTTCGATCAGACAAGAGACTGATTTCAGTAACTTTCTCCTGATAAGAGCCCACCAATCATGGACTGGTTCTGGCTGGTTTACAGAGGTTGCACACTTAAGTGCCTTTGTCTCCTGATAAAACCTGTTGACATATAGGGCTAAACTGTAACAAATTTAAATGGTAACTCTCCACCCCAAGGTGAATATGGGTTGTATGTTACATGCATGTTTGTTCACTAGGCATGTGTCAGGACCACCTTCATGAATATTCACAGCTCCTCCTGTAACTTGTTGAATATGTGTGTTTAGTCAACCTATTCAGAATGAAGCTTCTACAACTCAACCCCTTCTCCTTCAAAGTGCCTGTCTCCGGGCTTCAGCCAGAGGCATGCTTCCCAGCCTGCAGGTTGGCCACCTTGCAGGATGTAGCCCTTTATAAGAAAAAAGTCTCCTTTCCGTTTCTAAATTTAAAAATTGTGGATTTTTTTTTTTCAGTTAACAATATCCATTTAAACTTTTCAAATAGATGGTTTGCAAATGTTTGGCATGGGAAAATGCAGGCATATTTCATGAGTAGTTGTCAGAAATTAGGATCAATTTTACGAGGTGACTATCCAACAGGGACCAAGGAAGGAATCTCTGCCATTTTCATAGAGCCACTGATTGGCCCACTCATTGAAAATGCTGAGCAAGACCTCACCCTCACTCGCCCGGTCCTGAACCAGCCTGGCAGAGTTCTTGTCCCACTCAGAGATAGCGTTCTACATCCTATCTGAGTGACAGGATCAGCCCTGCCCTTATCAGCCCTCCGTAGATTCCATAATGAGGCTCCTACGAGTCTCTCTCATCTTCTCATTATCTCAACTACGATCCCTCTCCCTTTTATAGCACAAACTCCTCCAGTCCTGTGACATCTGTGATCATCAGGAACTTTTATTTTACCCATGGCTTTTTCCTCCTACACTGCTTCCCTCCACTTATCCAGAAACCCATCAATCTCTAAATGCTCTGCTCATGTATAATATCTTCCCTAAACTTCTGCACATCTCTAACCCATTAATATCACATAGTTTATGCTTAGTTCCTCCTCATTCATTTTATGAGATTTTGTTTAGCCCTAAAGATTTTTTCCATCTGGCTTGAAATTCTTACTTCTTTTTTTTAAATTTTTTGCCAAATTCAATCTTTAAAATAGGGGAACGATCCTCTTTCCTTCAAGAGATTTTGATGTCAGAAAGCACTGACTCACGCAAAGGTCCACATTTTCAGATTCACTGGCAAGCTGGTTGGTGAGGACAAGCTTTTGACTGAATCAAAGCTCAGTGGTTTTAAAGTGGAGTTGGGCAGAGCCTAGGCTTTTTGTGAGGGTGCTTAGGTGTCACTATGAAGGCCAGACGAGGGAGAGGGTGAGTGTGAGTTGAGTGAGTGAGACCGGAGCTTCAGCCAAAACAGCTATACTTTTGTCTATGTATATGCATATGTCTATATGTGTATATGTATGTATGTGTATGTGTACATGTATATGATATGCGTGGATACATGCTCATGTATATGCACTTGTGCATGTATTTGCATATGTATTTGTATATGCATTTGTATGTGTATGTGTATATGCATGTATATTTATATTAAATAGTGGGTAACTTTTCATTTCCCAGCAGGTTCAGATGCTTTAGAAACATAGTTTGAGATTCACTGCTTTAGGACCACATACTCATGATGAAAGACAAAAACGAAAAATAAACAGAGTCAGGGAGATTAAATCTATAACCAAAGACAACATGAGTATTTAATGTCAGCTACTCAAGCTCCAGTTTCCCCCTTCTGGTGAAAGGCTTGTTCCCTGGGGTCTTCTCTCTCAAAGGTCAGCGGCAGGAACTCCTTGGGGACTGGATGAGTAACTGGCATCTTTCAGTCCTGGGGTTGGGCTGTGCCTGTGGCTCTGAAACTCAGAAACTCCTCAGCCTGTGACCTCATGGGCTGGATCTGGCCCTGGCTCTGCCACTCAGACTCCGTGACATCTCCTCAATCCCTTCCCGCTGCAGCAGAGTGGCTACTGTGCTGCTCTCCAGCCAGCCTGGGGACTACCGTCTCTTAGGGCTTCACTGTAGGACGCACCTTTTATTCTCTGGATAGTTTTTATGACTTTGTTTGTTATTTACAGGCCAAGTTCAGTGGCCCCTGTAAACACAGTCACAATCTGCAACCGTGCTCTTAATTATGATCTTATTAAGAAATAGATTCCCACACAACTGGCACAAGGATGCCAGAAGCCAATATTTCTAATTCATAAATGTTTAGACTTATTTTCTCTCACCAAAATGTGCCTCTGAAAGCCTCAAGAGAAGAGGAAATAAAGAAATAAAAGTGAAAAAAGCAACCAGCAATAAGGATGATTCTGTTACTTCAACTATGCCTAAGACAGCCTGACCTTTAGCTGGAAATGGCCAGTCCCTTCTGGACTGTTAGGCAGAGAACTAAAAGTCAGGGGCTTCATGAAGAGGGTGGAGATGAAGTGAGGCTCGCCAAGGCCTGCCTGCCGTCCCATCGCTCTGAGGTGATGGGAGGTTCTATCCTGTTTCAGAAATTAGCACACTGAGCCTTTGGAACCCTGTAGGTCTCTCCTAGATTGCAGCCTGTCAGATGGTGTCCCTCAAGTGGCCCTACCTTCTTAATGTGAAGAGCAGCACTCAGGCAATATGACTTCCTCCAGCTTCAAAGGCAAACAAAACTTCAAAGGCTGATGCAGCCTTTCTTTTTCTTTACAGCAGATCACTAACAGAGCCTTTTGTACATTGCAAACATTTGTAAATATATATTAATATTTGTTCTAGTCCTGACCTGAACAGAACTTTTTGCATGATGAAATGCATAAACCTCATCCTAGAAATAAATGAGCATTCTGGATAAATATTTTAGCATTTTTATGAAGTTTTTTTTTTTTTTTTTTTTTTTTTTTCGAGACAGAGTTTCACTTTATTGCTCAGGCTGGAGGGCAGTGGTGTGATCTCAGCTCACTGCCACCTTCACCTCCCAGGCTCACCCGATTCTCCTGCCTCAGCTTCCCAAGTAGCTGGGATTACAGGTGCCCACCACCACGCCCGGCTAACTTTTGTATTTTTAGTAGAGACAGGGTCTTGCCATGTTGGCCAGGCTGGTCTTGAACTCCTGACCTCAAGTGATCTGCCCACCTCGGCCTCCCAAAATGCTGGGATTACAGGCATAAGCCACCGCATCAGGACTTTATAAAGTTTTTTTGTTTTGTTTTGTTTTTTTGAGACGGACTCTCGCTCTGTCACCCAGGCTGGAGTGCAGTGGCACGATCTCGGCTCATGGCAAGCTCTGCCTCCCAGGTTCACGCCATTCTCCTGCCTCAGCCTTCCAAGTAGCTGGGACTGCAGGTGCCTGCCACCATGCCCAGCTAATTTTTTTGTATTTTTTAGTAGCGACAGGGTTTCATCGTGTTAGCCAGGATGGTCTCAACATCCTGACCTCGTGATCCACCCACCTTGGCCTCCCAAAGTGCTGGGATTACAGGTGTGAGCCATCATGCCCGGCCCATAAAGTATTTCAATGGGCTAAGAATTCTTCCAAACCTCAGCTGAACACCTGCTCTGCTGATTCCTGACAACTCCAGCTGGGTCCCCAGGACTAGACAAAGATTTCAAGCTTCCTTTAGCAGCTATGTTGCTCTTTGCACCCATGCCTGCAACTCTTTAATCTTTTTTTTTCTGTAAAGTTTTCTAATGTCAGTCTTTGAATTAGCTTTCTAGAGATCTGGAAGATCCCTTGCACCATGAATAGCTAAAGTTAAAAGAAATGTATAACATAGTTGAAAAGGAATGGAAGGCGTAGTAGATGTAGATTGAATTTTCCCTGATGTTTATAATTATTTGCAATTACTCATGTCATTTTCATCCTTTTACAAGATCATGGCCCCGTTTCATAGGGGAGAAAGCTAAGGGTAAGAAGGTAAAGGGATCTGTCCAAAAGCTGACAACTAACCCACTAAAGGCTCAAGGTCTTACTTAGACTCCATTTATTTTCTAAACCAAATGTTTCTGCTCTTTCCCTCACATCACAAGGGCATGCAGAAGGATGCTTATAAATCACCACTGACTGCTGGGGTGGAAAGGAGAAACGAGTGCACAGACCAACATGCAGATTCACCTGCAAACACTGTACACACCTGTCCTGGAACTCTCTCCTTGCTCTGGAGCCAAGGATAATACAGAGAGGACAAACACTGAGGTTTTAGTTCCAGGCACCTCTGTGCCTGGAGACAGGCAGCACCTTAAAAACACATGATGAGGCAATTTGAATGTGAAACATCAGGGTGCTTTCCCTAAAGCATCCTTCATGTTCCATCAGCAATTGTTCTGTGGGTGTAATCAGTTTATGTTTTCTTCTGCTCTTTCCACAGTCTCTCCAGATATGTCTTCCTCCCTCTGTAAGGGAACATGAGAAGCGTTGCCAGTTTAAAAAAAAATTGTTAATAAACATACAACTTGCATGTGCTTGCTTGAGATGCCCATTACTGAAGAATTGGCTCTAGAAATTCTAGAATAGGAGCACTGATACAATTATGAAACTGATCCTCCCAAGCAAAATACTCTAACTTTTTGTTAACAGAAGAAAAAGGCTTTGAGCCAGCTTTCAAAATCTTTTCAGTTTGTGCCTTTGAACTTTATGGTGAGGGTGGGGAAGAGCAAAATCTACTAGTCAAGCAGAGACCTTGTCTGCTTTCCTTCCACAGTCTCAGAAACTGGGTAGAAATTAACTGCCTTTAAAGACAAGAGGCAATTGCAATTCCATGAGCACCAGCCTTACATCCCCATCATTTGTGTGCTGAGAAAGGTGACAGCAGCCTTCCAGGGCCTTGGTATTCAGATTGGCAAACTCCACAGCAGGAATGCTGAATGAGGCAGAACTTTCTCGGAAAAGTGTTGAATCAGTACATTTCGATGGAACAGCCCCCAGAGGCATAATATTTAGTGATTTCAGCCTACATTATTTATTGACTCATCAGGAGTTTGTGGGTTTAACATTTTATTAATATGGCACCAGGTCATCTGAGAAAGTGGTAGCCATAGGAAATCTTCCCAGAAGCACATTTTCATATTATAAACAGTGCCCTTCGAGGACTAAACAGAGTCCCCACTGTGTCTCTGGGGAGAGATAGAAAATGCCACATCTTCTACAAGCCATCTCTCTCTAAGGAAGTCAAATGGCAGTGAGTAAAATCCATACCTACTTTAATTCTTTTGTTGATAATCTTGTAGTCCTTATTCTGTGACTTCAGATTTGTACACATCTGGGGCAGCTGCAATCTCTAGGACCTAAGGTAGATTTGGGTACTTAAATGAGTCCCTGCTGTTTCATTTGTTAAGTGACCCCCAGATGTCTGGCATCAAAGAAAACTTTCAGTATTGAGAATGTGGAATCAAGATCAAACAAAATCCATATCCAAGGGAATTTGAAAAGGGAATCAATCTATAGTATCAAGTTTCAATAAGATACAATTTAGCCATTTTCCAAACAAAAGGAAAACTCAATACTCATGATTTTTCTCTCCTATATTACATTACATACTATTTTAAGATAATCACAAATACAGAACAAACTACCATCCGATACTCTTCTTAAAGAGATTGATAGGGATTTGGCCTAGAGATTTGGTTTGGTTTAATCTCAATGATTAATATTTCTATAAGTTTATATTGATTGATATTACAACATTTCAAAATGCCATTTAAGAGCTCAAACAAGAAATAAAGTTGTTAAGAATACTTTTACTGTGTTAGTTAGACATTGATAAGATAGATAGACAGGTAGAATATATAGTCATGTACCACATAACAACATTTCAACCAACAATGGACCACATATATGATGGTGGTCCCATAATATTATAATGGAGCATATATAGAAACCTAACTTATGGCACTTGTTATTGGCATTGCAGATCAAGTAGGGGAAATGACTGATATTTAGTAATGATGCTGGGACATTTGGTTTTCCATGTAAAAAATATATATAAAATAAGTATATAATATTATAAATATATAAGTATATAATATTATAAATATATATAATATACATATAATAATATGCATATACATCATCTAGGTTTGTGTAAGTACACTCTATGACATTCACACAATGACAAAATTGCCTAACGTTGCATTTATCAGAATGTCTCCTCATCATTAAATAATGCAGGACTGTATATGAACATACAGACATATAGCATGCGTGACAACTTTCTCATGCATGGCTGAGAACAGGGCTCTGGAGCCAGATTTTTAAATTCAATTCCTGGCTCCACCAGCTGTGTGGCCTTGCCTAGGATGACTTGCCTTCCCATTTTGAGCCTCAGTTTCCTCATTTGTAAACTGGAGGTATTTCTAGCACCTACTTTGTATGTCTGTAAGAGCTAGCACAGTACCTGACACATGGTAAGTGCTAAATAAGTGTTGACAATTATTTCTATGTGTTTATTTTATTATCAATTCTTTTTTGGACCTCAGGTGCACAGGACATCAAGCATACCACTCAGATCAAGGCTCCTTATTAACTTGAGAACAGCCTCTCTTTCATTTTATGTTTTGTTCCTGTATTATTCTGTTCTCCCATTGCTATGAAGAAATACCTGAGGCTGGGTAATTTACAAAGAAAAGTGGTTTAATTGGCTCACCGTTCTGCAGGCTGTGCAGAAGGCATGATGCTGAGTACATAGCTGAGCATCTGCTCAGCTTCCAGGGGAGCCTAAGACAACTTAAAATCATGGCAGGAGGAGAAGGGGGAGCAGGCACATCACATGACCAGAGCAGGAAGAAGAGAGAGAGAGTGAAGGGGGAGGTGCCATACACTTTTCAACAACCAGATCTTGCAAGTACTCACTCACTGTCATAGGGACAGCACCAAGGGGAGAGTGCTAAACCATTCATGAGCAACCACCCCCATGATCCAATCACGTTCCCGCAGGCCTCACCTCCAACATTGGGAATTACAGTTCGACATGAGGTTTGGGCAGAGACACAGATCCAAACCTTATCAGTCCCCATCTCCTGCTTCATTCTACCCCTGAGCACAGGTTTCATTTTAATTTAATTTAATGTAATAGTTGGCATGCATTCTTTCCTTGTAGATGACATCATAAAATGTGTAGACCTGTTTTGTATGCATACATTTTAAATTACGTAAATGCAATTTTGCTTCTTCCTTTTTCCCTCAGATAAGTGTTTTTAAGATATCCTTGTTGCTGTGTGCACACCTTGTCAGTATCATGCATTCACCATATTTTACATGTCTATTACCACAGTTGTTGGTTGAATTGTGTCCCGCCAAAAATATGTTGAAGCCATAACTCGATATAATTAAACTAAGATGAGTTTTTATTGTATTAAAATCTAAATCCTAAATCCCTAAATCCAAAAACTTTTGTTCTTATAAGATGAGAGAAATCTGAAGACATAAACAGGAAAGAAGGCCATGTAAACATGGAGGCAGATTGGAGTCATGGTGCTACAAAGCAGGGAATGTTAAGGATGGCTTTCAACCATCAAGAATTGGAGGAGGCAAGAAATAATTCTTCCCTAGGAACTTCAGAGGGAGCATGGACCTGCCAACAATTTGATTTCAGACTTCTCATCTTTAGAACTCAGAGATAATAAATTTATTTTGTTTTAAGCCACTCAATTCAAGACAGCTTGTCATAGCAGCCCTAGAAAACTAGTACAAAGTCTCCAACCATTTTTGTAGTAGAACTATCTATTTCTTCCCTTAATTCTGTCAATATTTGTTTCATATCTTTTGGGGCTCTATTGTTTGGTACATATGTATTTACAATTGTTATATCTCCTTGGTGAATTGATCTTTTAAATCAATATTTAATACCTTTTTTGTCTCTTGCAACAATTTTTGAATCAAAGTCTATTTTATCAAATATTAGTGTAGCCACTCTAGCTCTATTTGCATGGACTATCTTCTTATATCCTTTCATTTTCAACCTATAATATTTGTGTCTTTGGCTTTAAAATGAGTCTCTTTTAGACAGCATATAGTTGGACCATTTAAACAAAATCTATTCTGCCAGTCTCTGTCTTTTAACTAGTGAGTTCAATCGTTTGCCTTTAAAGTGACTACTGGTGATTTTTTAATTTAGTTCTTGCATGTCTTTTATCTCTTTGCTCACTGATAACCTCCAATACTGCTTTCTTTTGTGTTAGATTGATTTTTTTTCTAGTTTGTCATTTTAATTCCCACCTCATTTCCTTTTATGTATATTTTTAGATATTTTCTTAGTGCTTACCATGGGGATTACATTTAAATCTGAAATTTAAAATAATCTAGTGTGAATTGATATCAAATTAGCTTCAAGAGCATATAAAAACTCTGTTCTTGTACAGTTCAGTATCCCCCTTTATGTTGTCACAAATAACATTTTTATACATTGCATGATTATTAACACAAAGTTAAAAGTACTATTTATGCATTTGTTTTTAAAATAAAATAGGATATAAAAAGAGGAGTTATACATCAAAAATTTAATAATACTGGCTTATGTATTTACCTGTATAGTTACCTTTACCAGAGCTCTTATTTCTTCATATGTGTTCAAATTCCTGTCTAGTTTCCTTTTATTTCAGCCTGAAGGATTCTATTCAGCATTTCTGAGAGGTCAGGCCTCCTAGTGATACACTTCCTCAGCTTTTGTTTATGTGGGAAAGTATTAATTTCTCATTTCATTGAGAATGATAGCTTGCTGGACATAGAATTCTTGGTTGACAGTTTTATTTTATTTTAAGCTCTTTAAATATGTCATCCCACTGCATTTTGCCCCCCACAATTTCTTATCCCTTAGGTTCTATAAATTTTTCTTTATTATTTTTTCTTTCTGCTCTCCAGACTGGATAATTTCAATTGTCCTAGCTTCAAATTCACTGATTCTCTCATGCCTGCTCAAATCTACTAGTGAACCTCTCTAGGTTAATTATTTGTTTCAGTTATCATGCTTTTCAGGCTCAGAATGTCTACTTCATTCATTTTTTATAATATCTATTGCTTTGTTGCTATTCTCTATTTTTTCATATGTAATTCTCCTGTTCACAGTTTCCTTTGTTCACGATTTACTTTAGCTCTTTGAGCATATTTTAGATAGTTAATTTAATTTCTTTGTTTAATGAATCCGATGTTAGGGCTTTATCATTGACGGTTTCTGTCTGTTTTTTCTTTGTTGTGTGTGAATAGGCCATACTTTCCTCTTTTGTATGCCTTTGATGTTTGTTGTTGATGTTGAAAACTTGACGCTGTGAATATTATAATATTGTAACTATGATAATCAGATCCTTCCCCCTCCCCACGGTTTGTTGATGGTGATAGTAAAGAACTGCATTCTGTTTTTTTATTTTTGCAAAGTATTTTTATGAAGACCGCATTCTTTATTGTACATAGTCTTGCAATCTGTTTCATTATTTCCTCATTTGACCTGTGACCTGATAGAGATTTCCTTAAATGCCTGGAGCCAAAACAAAAAACAACAAAAAAAAGATTTTGGTCTTTTCATATTGGCCCTGAGCTGGTACAATACTTTATTGTTTAGACAGCCCACCTATAACTCAGCCTTAGCTTTCATGAAGCTCCATGCCCAAAGATACCCAGAGTTGCAAGTCTAGGGCACTGTCAGTTCTTTTTATGAGAATGTATTTATCTTTGGGTGTAGACTTTACACTCCAGATTACTCATTATGTGCAGTGCCTTTACTTCCTCAAGAGTCTACCTCAGTAGCCACCTCATTCCCAGACCTTTAGGACCATCTGGTATCTGCTCCGTCCTCCATCACTTGTCTTAGGTGGCTATGGGTAGCACTCCAAACACTTTCATGAGATGATACCTAAAAGGCTCCTCCAGCAGAAAGAGATGAAACAATGGTCAGCCTCTGTGCTGGTCTCTCAGGGAACTGCCACATAAGTCAAAACCTACAAATACAATTTATTTTCAGAACAAGGTCTATATTCTGCCACCTACCACCCAGGCAGTGGCACCAGCAAGCCACATCATAAATTCATGTTGTGATTCCCAGGACCACTGGTGATCTAGGGAATCAAGAATTGTCTGTGGGTCAGAAAAAAGCCACAGTTTTTTCTTACTAAAATTCAGCTTTCTCTTTTTTCAATAGATATTCTCTGATTATTGTAAGTGTTGAATTAGATTGCAGAGTTTTAGTAAAAGTGGATTCTGCCAGTTTTTCTAAGATTAATGGTGGCTTCAGTGGAGGAACCAATTCTTGGAGCTCCCTACTTAACTAGTCCTATCATGTAACCACACTCCTAATCTTTTAAAATGAAGAGCAGTAGAAATGAACAAAGGTAACATAAAATTTACTGGCTTTCTCATTTTTGATTTCTCTAAAGTCTTACTATTTAAAGCAAAAATAATAACAGATTTTGTGTCTAAAGCATATGTAAAATTGTAGTGTATAAAAATAGTACATAGGTCAGAGGGAGGATTGGAGATATATATAGATATATAGAGAGAGATATATACACACACATACACAAACACATTCTTATAATATGTAATTTTAATTTTATTTTTCCCTTTATTCTTATCATTGTATATGTAATGTTTTTGCAGCCCATTTTTTGCCACTTACTATGTGTTGAAGGACATGAACCAATCACAATATTTGTAATGACTTCATGATAATCCCTCTGTGTGTCAGTGAAAATGTATTCACAGATAAAAGGCTCCTGACTAACTAATTTAAGCAGAGAAGGACTTTGCACAAGGCATTAAATTGCTTAATCCATGACAGGAGTGAGACAGCTGGATTTAATGTCTAGAAATGACACCCAAAGACAGCCTGCACCACTAAAAGCCCAGGAGAGTTGCTTCTTTGGACTTAGCATTAGGCCACTTGTATTAGTCACAGTTCTCCTGAGAGTATTACACACATCTCTCTGTCTCTCTGTCGCTCTCTCTGTCTCTCTGTCTTTCTCTCTCTTTCTCTCTCTCTCTCTCTTTCTGTATATATATATATATATATATATATATATATATATATATATATATATATATATATTTGATGGTTTCTGTTTTTTCTTTTCTGTGTGTGAATAGCCCATACTTTCCTCCTTTGTATGCCTTTCGATGTTTGTTGTTGTTTGCTATATATATATATAGAGAGAGAGAGAGAAATACACATAAAATACACACACATATATGTGTGTGTGTGTATATAATATACAATATATTACATATGTTATATGTAATAAGGATTTGGCTTGCACAATTTTGGAAACTGGCAAGTTCAAAGTTCAAATCTGAAGTAAGATCCAGGAGAACGGATGGTACAGATGAAGCCCAAAAGCACTCTTTTGGAAAATTTTCCATTACTCAAGGTATGGTTTGCCTTTTGTTCTGTTCAGGAATTCAAATGATTCGATGAGGCCCAACTACATTATGGAGGGCAATACACTTTACCAATTGAAATGTTAAGTGTCATCTCCAAACACCCTCATAGAAACACCCAGAATAATGTTTAACCAAATATCTGGGCACCCTATGGCCCAGTTAAGTTGATACAAAATTAATCATCATAAGCATCCCTTGTCAACCTGACAACCATGCACATCTTGAAGAGATAATAACAAGGTCATTCTTCTGCCTAACATGGTGCAAACATCCTGTGTACAACCAAAAACACATGAAATATTTCCCCAGAAAAATAAGCAAAATAATTGGATGATGTTTATATTTTTCGTTTATATCCCAAAACTTAAATATCATGTTGTAAAATGACAATATTTAACTACTATGAAAGAAAGTCAGCCAGGCGTGGTGGTTCATGCTTGTAATCCCAGCACCTTGGGAGGCTGAGGCAGGCAGATCACGAGGTCAGGAGATCGAGACCATCCTGGCTAACATGGTGAAACCCCATCTCTACTAAAAATACAAAAAATTAGCCGGGCGTGGTGGTGGGTGCCTGTAGTCCCAGCTACTCGGGAGGCCGAGGCAGGAGAATGCCATGAACCCAGGAGGCGGAGCTTGCAGTGAACGGAGATCACACCACTGCACTCCAGCCTGGGTGACAGAGCAAGACTCCATCTCAAAAAAAAAAAAAAAAAAGTCAATACTTGTTATGTTACATAATAAGGGAATAAGAGAGAGAACAAAAGATATATATACACTTACACACAGAGACACACACAGACATATAAATAACAAATTAAGAAAGAAATACTCAGTCAGGCATGGTGGTTTATGCCTGTAATCCCAGCACTTTGGAAGACCCAGGCGGGTGGATCACCTGACGTCAGGAGTTCAAGACCAGCCTGGCCAACATGGTGGAACTCCCTCTCTACTAAAAGTACAAAAATTAGCCGGGCATGGCAGCGCACACCTGTAATCCCAGCTACTCAGGAGGCTGAGGCAGGAGAACTGCTTGAACCTGGGAGGCAGATGTTGCAGTGAGCCTAGATCGTGCCACTGCACTCCAGCCTGAGCTACAGAGCGGGACTCTGTCTCAAAAAAAAAAAAAAAAGAAAGAAAGAAGAAGAAAAGAAATACTCATGACAATTACAGTCCTTACAGTCCTTGTTTCTATAACTGGTCATGTGGTCGTAGCTGGTGTTTATAGCTACCTTCCTCCACTACCCATTCTGTATTACTTTGCCTTCAGCAAGCACCTCAACTGGTTGTAGCTCTTTTTTGGGGGGGATGACTCAAACATTCATTCCTGGAGAGTCATCTGAAACATTAGATTGGGTTGTAGTTTTCTTCTGATTTTAATCACAGGGCATGGTAATACTAAGAGATTCCCTAAGGGATCTTCTGAATTCTAGATATACTTTTCCTTACCTCCATTGTGGAGTAGCAGTCTAATTTCTCCTTGATAATCCAGCCAGACCAGTATCAATCATTCCAGCCAGCATGATAACTTTCTTTGGCAGTTAATTTAGAGGCATGAGGAGCCCCAGATGACTGGGTGGCACTCTTAACTTCAGGTTCAATGGAATCATTTTGTTTCCTGGTGGAAGTATTCCTCCCTTTGGAACTAAGACCCCTAGCCCAGCAGAGTATAAAGTCATGGGAACAGGAAGCAAACATTCCGCTAGTGGTCACCAGGGGTAATGGTGAGTTGTGTCACTCCCATATCTACCCCTTGATTCTTGGACCTATGCATTTGGCCATGGGAGAAACAGAACCATATATTAGACACTGATTTAAAGCATATTCAGCCTTTTGGAGAACTTTGTCCCAGCCATGCAAGGTATTGCCATCTAGCTGACTCTGTGACTGAGTCTTCAAAGAGCCATTCCACTATCTTACCAAGCCTGCTTTTGTAGCATGGTGGGGAACATAGAAAGGCCAATGAATTCCATGAGCATGAGCCCGTTGCTGCACTTTGTTTGTTGTGAAGTGAGTTCCTTGATCAGCAACAATGCTGTGTGGAATAACATAACAGTGACTAATGCATTCTGTAAGTCCACAGATTGTAGTCTTAGTAGAAGCATTGCATGCAAGGAAGGAAAATACATATTCAGGGTAAGTGCCTTGTCTAGTAGAAACAAAACCCTGCTTTTCCCATAATGGAAGCAATAGAATGTAATCAACCTGCCCCAGGTTACTGACTGATCATCTCGAAGAATGATCCTGTATCAAGTAATCAGTGCTGTTTCTTCTGCTGACTGATTGAGCATTCAACAGTGGCCATAGTCAGGTCAACCTTGGTGAGTGGAAGTCCGTGTTGCTAAGCCCATGCATAATCCCCATCTTTGCCACAATGGCAAAGAGCCCATTGGACTATGACAAATGTGGATGGGGAAAGAAACTGACTGTATCCACAGAATGAGTCATTCTATCCATTTTATTACTAAAATCTTGGTAAGCATTCACATGGGACACAGATATCTTCATGTTTTTCTCCCATTCAAAGAGGTCTACTCTCATACCTCTTCTCCATACTTCGTTTTCACCAATACTCCTATATTGTTCCTTCTAAGGACATGACCATTAAGCCAAACCATTTGCCACAGCTCATAAATCAGTATAGAATCTCATTGCTGGCCATTTCTCATTGTAAATAAAGTGAACAACCAGGTGTGCTGCTTGAAGTTTTGCCCATGGAGAGGATTTTTTCTTTATCAGTGTTCTTCAGGAATGATCCAGAGAGGGTCGCAGTGCTGCAGCTGTCCACTTTTCGGTAGTGTCTGCATATGCTGCAGAACTATCTGTAAACCAGGCTTGAGATTCTTTTCCTCTACAATTGATCATAGGGAACTCTCCATGAGGCCATAGGTTCAGGCTTCTACGGAAGGCATGGACATTTGTGTCATTTCTTCATGTAACTTAACTGTGCCATTAGGGCCTGCTCAAGCTCAATCTTACATATACTACTTCCATTTGACGATAGATTGTTACTGTGCACATCTACCTCTTGAGTTGGTGGGTAAGAAAATACCCAGCTCATAATGGCCAACTCAGCTTGCATGGTAATTTGATGGACCAGGATTAGGTGTTCAGGCTCTAAAAGGGCCCAGGAATAGGCCAAAAGCTGTTCCTCAGAAAGACAGTAGTTATTCACAGGGGATGGCAGATCCTTTCTCCAGAGTCCTATGTCTGCACTGCGATTCACTTAAAAGGGCCTGCCAAAGGCTCCACACAGCACTTCTCCCTGCCACTGACACTTCAAGTACCATTGGATCTGATGGCTCATGTGGCTCAAGGGGCACAGCAGCTGCACAGTAATGTAGGCCTTTTGCAGAACCTTCTCTTTTCTAGGCTCCACTCAAAACTCGCAGCTTTTTAGTTCACTTTGTAAATGGGTTGGACCTGAATGAGGAATACGTTGCCTCCAAAATACTAAGAGGCCTCTAGGCCTTGAGCCTCTTTCTTGGTTATAGGAGGGACGGGATGTTGCAACTCTCTTTCACCTTACAAGGGATATTTTGACACACCCCACAGCACTAGGCCCCTAGAAACTTCACTGAGGTAGAATGCCCTTGCATTTTAGTTGGATTTATTTCCTACCCTCTGACATGCAAATGTCTTACCAATAAGTTCAGAGTGGTTGCTACTTCACACTCACTAGGTTAAATCAGTATAATGTCATTAAGATAATGGACCAGCGTGGTATCTGGTGGAAGGAAAAGGCCTCAAGTTCTGTATGAACTGAATTTATGACACAGGGCTGGAGAGCTGATATACCCTTGGGATAGGACACTCAATTTGTATTGTTGGCCTTGCAGGTTGAAAGCAAACTGCTTCTAATGGCCTTTCGAAACAGATACAGAAAAAAAAAGGCATTTGCCAGATCTCAGATACCAGGTACCAGGGGATGTGTTAATTTGCTTAAGTAATGAAACCACATCTGCTAAAGCAGCTACAATTAAAGTTAATACTTGATTAAGCTCATGAATCCACTGTCATTCTCTAAGGTCCATCTGTCTTCTGCACAGTCCAAATAGCACAATTGAATGTGGATATGGTAGCAACTGCCACGCCTGCATCTTTCAAAGTCCTTGAGAGTAGCACTAATCTCTGTAATCTCTCCAAGAATGCAGTATGGCTTTTGGTTTACATTGTTTAGGTACAGGCAGTTCCTATGATAATGGCCCTCACTCCACAGGTCAGAGAACCAATGTGGGGATTCTGATAGTTGCTGAATATGTCCATTCCAATTATGCACTCTGGAACTGGG